>NC_000002.12:24327937-24479452 GCF_000001405.40 Homo sapiens
TCAAGTTTTGTATTTATACACTTAAGGAAAATTATCTACATGAATATTTTAAACCTCTACCAAAAAAAAAAAAAATCCATAACCTCATCTTGCCACAAGCACAAAGCTGCTTACCATTCATAGCTGTGGGAAACTGAGCCATCATGGTCCTGAGTTTTCCTTGCTAGCTCTCAGCCATCTGCAACATAAAAATATTGTGCCGTTGATAATACAACAAGGGCAAATCACAGTTTAGTGCACCCGCTAAGCAGTAGGAATGTCTGTCCCCTTCAGCTCACACTTCCAACAGAAAACAATGCAGAGCTTCTGCTGCTGCTGAACAGGCAGAATTTACATTTGAGGAAGGGTAAGAGATTTTGTTGGGTAATCGTGCTGCCTTAATACAGAAAAACAGTCACATATTTAATAGTAGATACTGAATAAAGAAACCCTTGGCATGAACCAACATTCTTGTAGAAATTAATTTGGAAGAGAAAAAAATAAATCAACTGTATAAATTAAGTATATAAGAATAACATGGAAATCCATACTTTTTTTTTTTTTTAAATAGAGTCTCACTCTGTCACCCAGGCTGGAGTGCAGTGGTGCAATCTCAGCTCACTGCAACCTCTGCCTCCTGGGTTCAAGCAATTCTCATACCTTGGCCACCTGAGTAGCTGGGACTACAGGAATGCTCCACCACACCTGGCTAATTTTTGTGTTTTTAGTAGGGACAGGGTTTTGCCATGTTGACCAGAATGGTCTCAAATTCCTGGCCTCAAGTGACCTGCCCACGTCAGCCTCCCAAAGTGCTGAGATTACAGGCGTTAGCCACTGCACCCAGCCCATAGTATCATTTTTTAAAAACTCCCAAACAAGAAAAATATTCAAAATAAATGTAGCGCAGCTGTTTAAATGAGCTCAAGGGGTTTATAAAATAGTCTAAAAGTAATTATTAAAACACACAAAATTATTAAAATACATATATAACATAACTAAATGTGCTGGGCAAGCACTCTAAGAGAAGGGACTTTGGAAATTCACAGCTCTGGGTTCAAACCCAGCTCTGCTATTCTCCCAGCTGTGACCATGGAAAAGTTATTTAACCTTTTTTGAGACTCAGATTACTCATCTATAAAAAATACTTTGCAGAAGTATTTTTTAAAGTGTTAAACATAATCCAGTAAACTGCCTGCCACATAGGGTGTTCAACAAATGGCTGCTATTTTGCAAACAACCAGAAAAGGAGAGTGCAGTATCATTTTGAACCCTGAATTCATTATTCAGCTGTCAATAAATTCAAAAATTGTTCCATGAATCTTTTTGTGGGTCTGTTTTTTTTTTTGTTTGTTTTGTTTTCTTGAGACGGAGTCTCGCTCTGTCGCCCAGGCTGGAGTGCAGTGGCGCAGTCTTGGCTCACTGCAACCTCACCTCCCGGGTTCAAGCGATTCTCCAGCCTCAGCCTCCTGAGTAGCTGGGTCTACAGGCGCACATCACCATGCCCGGCTAATTTTTGTTTGTTTGTTTGTTTGTTTTAGTAGAGACGAGGTTTTACCATGTTGGCCAGGCTAGTCTTGAACTCCTGAGCTCAAGTGATTTGCTTCCCTCAGCCACCCAAAGTGCTGGGATTACAGGCCACTGTGTCCTGCCCGTTCCATGAATTTTGAGAGTAGGACCAGTTAGGAAGTGAAGGCCTAGCAAATTTATAGCAATGCACTTAGTAATTAAAACCATGGATCATAATATTGCAGGAAAACACTACTATATTAAAAGATCATGCCGTATCTCATCTATTTACCCAAATCATTTAAATATTAATATTTTTAGAAGCCTAAGAAAAATATTTGCACAGCCATTTTAAACAAAGAAGGCATTAAGTAGTACATACATCGTGGTCAACGTTTCTCACCATTTTATAGCTAGCTTAAAAAATGAACACAGAAGGAAGTCCCATCAATCAAGTTATGACTGCAACTTCCTCAAATACAGAAATACTGCAAACAAATATAACATTTTTACTTCTTCAATTTTAAATCATAAGTAATGTTAACCCAAAATAAGCTACATGGCTAAAAACAAACTATCTACTTAACAGATATGCAGTAGCAAGGGCCCTTATTCATTAGTTTTCTGTGGCTGAGACCATTTTAAAACATGGGAGAAAACCCACTATTGCAAATAATGCATTTTCTAACTCTGCATAATAGCATGTGAATTATAAAGATGGCTCTAACAACAGAAAAACCAACGAGGAATGGGATCCCATGGACACAAGGCCTTAATCAGTTGGGATCTAGGTCTAAAACTTACAAATCATCTGTCTAGAACCATTTGTTCGTCATCACGTATTCTGTGAATACAAAAGAATGCCAAATAGAGAGCAACGTGAAGAAGAAGACGCGAGAACGAACCCCGGACTGACCAAAGCCTGCATGCCACTGCATCCTGTGCCAAGTGCTTACCTCCTGCCACCGTTGCCACCACCATGCCCAAGAGAAAGGGTGAAGGGGATGCTAAAGGAGATAAAGCCAAGGTGAAGAACGAACCACAGAGAAGACCCATGAGGTTGTCTGCTAAACCTGCTCCTCCAACGCCAGAGCCCAAGCCTGAAAAGGCCCCTGCAAAGAAGGGAGAGAAGGTACCCAAAGGGAAAAAGGGAAAAGCTTATGCTGGCAAGGAGGGGAATAACCTTGCAGAAAATGGAGATGCTAAAACAGACGGGGCACAGAAAGCTGAAAGTGCTGGAGATGCCAAGTGAAGTGTGTGTATTTTTTATAACTGTGTACTTCTGGTGACAGTAGTTTGAAATACTATTTTTTATCAAGTTTTATAAAAAATGCAGAATTTCATTTTACTTTTTTTTTTTTTTAGATGAATTCTCGCTCTATCGCCCAGGCTGGAGTGCAGTGGCGTGATCTTGGCTCACTGCAACCTCCACCTCGTGGGTTCACGCGATTCTCCTGCCTCAGCCTCCTGAGTAGCTGGGATTACAGGCAGGCGCCACCACACCTGGCTAATTTTTGTATTTTTAGCAGAGATGGCGTTTCACCATGTTGGTCAGGCTTGTCTCGAACTCCTGACCTCAGGTGATCCACCTGCCTCAGCCTCCCAAAGTGCTGAGATTATAGGCATGAGCCACTGCACCCGGCCACTTTTTTTTTTTTTTTTTTTTAAGGCAGAGTTTCGCTCTTGTTGCTCAAGCTGGAATGCAATGGCGCGATCTTGGCTGACTGCAACCTCCGCCTCCCAGGTTCAAGCAATTCTCCTGCCTCAGCTTCCCAAGTAGCTGGGATTACAGTTGCGCATCATCACGCCCGGCTAATTTTTTGTATTTTTAGTAGAAATGGGGTTTCACTATGTTAGCCAGGCTGGTCTTGAACTCCTGACCTCAGGTGATCCACCTGCCTCAGCCTCCCAAAGTGCTGGGATTACAGGCATGAGCCACTGTGCCCAGCCTACTTTTTTTTTTTTTAAGCTATGTTGTTAGCACACAGAACACTTCATTGTTGTTTTTGGGGGAAGGGCCATATGTCACTAATAGAATGTCTCCGAAGCTGGACTAATGTGGAGGAAACACCTTTCCCTTCTAGTTTTGAGAGAGTTCCTCTTGGCTCCCAGGAGGAGGGATTCCCTGACTTTAACACACATGGCCACCTTGGCACAAAAGCCTTGTGGTATGGAAAACAAATTTGTTTTTATGTCCTCTTCTCCCTTTCCGTCCTTCAGCAGAGACTTAACTCCCTTAAACCCAGACATCTGTTGAGACCTGACCCCCCAATCATTAGTTACCAGTGTGTCAGGCAATCTGGACTTTCCAGTGATGCCACTGAGACGGCACCTGTCAAAAGAGCAGTGGTTCTTCAGATAAATTCTGCCATTTTCATTTCACTTCCTGAAAGTCAGGGTCGGCTGGGAAAAGTTGTTAAACAATATGCTAAATGTGAAATGTCAACCCTCACTCTAAACTTTCCCTGTTCACAGCATCAGATGAAGACTTCATTGGGTTTTAGAGTGGCTTTCAAGAAGGGAGTTTGAAAGTTGTTGTGGCCAGGCGCAGTGGTTCATGCCTGTAATCCCAGCACTTTGGGAGGCCAAGGCAGGCAGATCACCTGAAGTCAGGAGTTCAAGACCAGCCTGACCAACATGGTGAAACCCCATCTCTACTAAAAATACAAAATTAGCCAGGCGTGGGGCACATGCCTGTAATCCCAGCTACTTGGGTGGCTGCGGCAGGAGAATCGCTTGAACCCAGGAGGTGGAGGTTGCAGTGAGCCAAGATCAGGCCATTGCACTCCAGCATGGGCAACAAGGGCAAAACTCCGTCTCAAAAAAAAAGGAAAATTGTTGTATACTCAATGATTGTCTGCCCATGTCCTGCCTGAAATACCATGATTGTTTACGGAAAGTATCTTTAATAAAGCTGGATACAGTTTGGCTTGGGAAAAAAAAAAAGAATGCCAAATAGTAGATGCTCAGTAATCACAGGCATAATTCTGAAATAAAACCTGAGAATGAACTAAATATTAATAATATTACTGGCAATAAGGGCAAATCCCTTGGGTAAAGCTGAAGGTACTAGTATTACAGAATCTTTATCATCTGGTATGTGGAATTTAGCCACCCATGCACATAGGTACCATATTATATGTAACATTTATATTGTATGTAACATCTGATTAACTGTGGTAACATCTAAATATGGGAGTATATTTTGTTGGAACCAATAAGCTTTTAAAACATATCATTTCATATCTATTACATTTCTATTCTCTCTGCCCCACTGTGGAATAATTACCTAATGCTTAACAATTCTACTAGTCTATTTGCAGAGTAGTACTTAACAATTATAATTGAAATTTTGAAAATGCAACAGATACCAAAAACTTTGTTTTACATTTTTCAAAAAGCAATTAATAAATTAACATTTACTGTTTACCATTAATTCAATACACTTCTGTTGATCACAGTAGATGTACTGTGTCATGCTGAGTATTCATTGAGAATCCAATGTTTCAGGTTCTGCAGAAGGAGCTTCAGACACTGACAAGCTTGTAGACTTATCTACCAGGTGCCAGATACTGCTAGGCACCTTTGATAATATGGATACTCCTCTCACAATATCCCCACAAGGCAGATGATACTGTACTCATTTCACAGAAGAAACTGAAGAGGTTAAATTACTTGCCCAAATTCAGTATGTCATGAAGCCAGAATGCAATCCCAAGCCTGTCTAATTCTTAAGCCCATGAACTTCCCATGGGCTTTATCTGCCTCTTCCTCTCTTAAATGGAGATAATGCGTCACAGGTTCCTACAAACAGCAGGAGAACTTACTGTTAGCACATTTGTCCAGGAGAAGAAAAACAAGCCAGAGATGACTCCCAACACACTGGACAGCATCAATCACATACATAAATTAGGGAGTGCTAATTGTTTCTTATCTCTTGGTATAACTCTCTGAAAGGAAGAAAAGGGTAACCAGCATCTCCCCAGGTACATGACTGGCGCCTGTTTCAGGCAAGTGCAACTGAAGTCAGCATCCAACAAACACCCCTTTCTACTCTTCACAGGGGATGAAATGTAGTGACAGGCAATTTTGGCAAATTTGCAGTCATCATGTATTTTGAATACTGTTAGTTATGTATGGTTTTTAGAATGTTCATATGATTTTCCTGCTCATTAAAAATTAATGCAGAACTGGCATTGTTCCCTTTGTAGAAACCAAGAAAATATATTGGGTAAATAGTAGGCATAAGGCAAAGAACACTGCTTCAATTTAATATAATTCAGTTGCCATTTGGAGTAATTGCCAAACGTACTTTAGACAATGTAGAAAATATACTCACACTAAGACAGAAAAAAGTAGAAATGCTAGAACAAAAGCAGGAAATCCTGCTTTTACAAACGGTCAGTAAGACTCAGAAAAAGTCACAGCCATTATAAGTGAAAAGTCGCTTAATTAAGGTTTAGGGGTTTTTTTGTTTTGTTTTTTGAGACAGAGTCTCATTCTGTCACTCAGACTGGAGTGCAGTGGCACAATCTCGGCTCACTGCAACCTCCACTTCCTGGGTTCAAGTGATTCTCCTGCCTCAGCCTCTTAAGTAGCGGGGACTACAAGCGCACGCCACCACACCTGGCTAATTTTTTTTTTTCTTTTTTTTGAGATGGAGTCTCCCTCTGTCACCCAGGCTGGAGTGCAATTGTGCGATCTCAGCTCACTGCAACCTCCGCCTCCCAGGTTCAAGCAATTTTCCTGCCTCAGCCTCCCAAGTAGCTGGGATTACAGGTGCCCAGCACCGCGCCCAGCTAATTTTTGTATTATTAGTAGAGAGGAGGTTTCGCCATGTTGGCCAGGCTGGTTTTGAACTCCTGACCTCACGTGATCCGCCCGCCTCGGCTTCCCAAAGTGTTGCGATTACAGGCATCAGCCACTGTGCCCAGCCTGATTTTTGTATTTTTAGTAGAGATGGGGTTTCACCATCTTGGCCAAACCCCAAACCCCTTGGCCCAGCCAAGGTTAAAGTTTTTGTTTGTTAAGAAGCACAGTTACAGAAAGAATTACAATTACTTTCCGTGCCAATAGCGCTCATGCAAACATGGTGAACATTCCTAAAACCCGCAGGACTTTCTGTAAGAAGTGTGGCAAGCACCAACCCTGCAAAGTGACACAGTACAAGAAGGGCAAGAATTCTCTGTATGCCCAGGGAAAGTGGTGTTATACAGGAAGCAGAGTGGTTATGGTGGGCAAACTAAGCTGATTTTCCAGAAAAAGGCTAAAACTACAAAGAAGATTGTGCTAAGGCTTGAGTGCGTTGAGCCCAACTGCAGATCTAAGAGAATGTTGGCTATTAAAAGATGCAAGCATTGGCCGGGCGCGGTGGCTCACGCCTGTAATCCCAGCACTTTGGGAGGCCGAGGCGGGCGGATCACGAGGTCAGGAGATCGAGACCATCCTGGCTAACAAGGTGAAACCCCGTCTCTACTAAAAATACAAAAAATTAGCCGGGCGTGGTAGCGGGCGCCTGTAGTCCCAGCTACTCGGGAGGCTGAGGCAGGAGAATGGCGTGAACCCGGGAGGCGGAGCTTGCAGTGAGCCGAGATCGCGCCACTGCACTCCAGCCTGGGCGACAGAGCGAGACTCCGTCTCAAAAAAAAAAAAAAAAAAAAAAAAAAAAAAAGATGCAAGCATTTTGAACTGGGAAGAGATAAGAGAAAGGGCCAAGTGACCCAGTTCTAAGTGTCATCTTTTCTTTTATTATAAAGACAATAAAATCTTGAGTTTATGTTAAAAAAATAATAATTACAATTATCATTTAGTCCAAAACCCTCAATTTTCAAGGTGGGAAAACTAAGAAACTTGTAAAAGATCACAAGTTAGTAGCAAAGGTCCCAGAAACTACATCTCTGATGTACATGTCCAGTGCTCTGGTTTTTTAAGACAAAGTATCACCCTGCCACGCAGGCTGGAATGCAGAGACATGATCTCAGCTCACTGCAACCTCTGCCACCTGGGCTTGAGCAATCCGCCCACCTCAGCCTCCTGAGGAGCTAGGACTACAGGCGTGTACCACCATGCTCAGCTAATTTTTAAATTTTTTTGTAGAGATGCGGCCTCACTACATTTCCCAGGCTGGTCTCCAACTCCTGGGCTCAAGTGAACCTCCCACCTTGGCCTCCCAAAGTGCTGGGATTACAAGCGAAAGCCACTGCACCCAGCCTTCCAGGGCTGTTTGTTTGTTTTTGAGACAGAGTCTCACTCTATCCCCCAGGCTGGAGTGCAGTGCGCCATCTTGGCTCACTGCAACCTCCGCCTCCCTGGTTCAAGTGATTCTCATGCCTCAGCCTCCCGAGTAGCTGGGATTAAGGTGCCTGCCACCATGCCCAGCTAATTTTTGTATTTTTAGTAGGGACGGGGTTTCGCCATGTTGGCCAGGCTGGTCTCAAACTCCTGACCTCAGGTGATCTGCCCGCCTCCCAAAGTGCTGGGATTACAGGCGTGAGCAACCACGCCCAGCCCAGTGCTCTGTTCTTAAAAGTTTCCCTTGGCCGGGCATGGTGGCTCAAGCCTGTAATCCCAGCACTTTGGGAGGCCGAGGCAGGTGGATCACGAGGTCAGGAGATCGAGACCATCCTGGCTAACATGGTGGAACCCCGTCTCTACTAAAAATACAAAAAAATTAGCCAGGCATGGTGGCGGGCACCTGTAGTCCCAGCTACTTGGGAGGCTGAAGCAGGAGAATGGCATGAACCCAGGAGGCGGAGCTTGCAGTGAGCCGAGATGGAGCCACTGCACTCCAGCCTGGGCCACAGAGCGAGACTCTGTCTCAAAAAAAAAAAAAAAAAAAAAGTTTCCCAACTTGCCCACTCATATCACCTGGGATATTTACTAACTGTACATTATGAATAGAACCTAAATAAATGTTATTGGCTTGAGACCCTTCCACACAGCTACTAGTTTTTTCTTAAAGCACTCATTAATGCCCCTTTCCTGCTTAGAAAATCTTCCACTGATTACAAGTTAAAGTCCAAACTTCTTAGTATGAAATACGGCCCTCTTCAGTATCTCACTGTATCACATACTCCAGGTACTTTCCATTTCCATATGTCCTAAGTATACCAATCTTTTTTGAAACAGTAACTTTTGTTCTCTCCTCTACTCCTTCATAAAGAGGTGCTCCCTTTGTCATGGTCATCACACTTTCTTCTCCTTCTTTGATTCCCAATTCAAATGTCATCTTGTCTTTGAAAGACTTCTATCCTCCCAGGTAGTTAGTCACTATCTCCTATGTGTGTCCATACACTTGTTTACACCACAATAACCTCATTTATCACACTATTTTAATTTCATGATTGCCTGTTTCACATGTCCTGGGGAGAGACCATTTTTATTTACCTCCATATGCCTGGTTTCTAAACCAGATCTTCCAAAGAAAACACTCGATAAACATTTGCTGAACAAATGAATTGGGTAAATAATATGGTTGAGATACCAAAAAAGATGTGAATAAAGCAAGCAGGGAGAGGCAACGATGAACTGAATATACAGAAAGGAAACCAGCAGGAAGCAGAACAGGCTCCAACCTACTTCCATTAAACCCTGCAGAAATCAGAGTTGTGCAACATGGCTCTCCTGTAACTTGGCTTTTCTTTTTTTTTTTTTGAGTATACTTTTAAAGAAAGGTTTATTTCCCATTGACTTCTGAAGGTTTTTTATCGAGAGTGAGGAAGGCGGCTCAGGTTTTTTAATTACTTCATGATTCAATATTTTGAATCATTTTGATTAAATAAATTTGACGAATGGTCTGACATTCAAAAGCACAATCATCAATCATCATGTTCCTGCAGGCGTGTGTGTCTATATGTATGTATGTGTGTGTGTGTGTGTGTGTGTATACACAAAATATATATATATATATATATATATATATATATATATATGTAATTTTTTTTTTTAAGACAGAGTCTCGCTCTATCACCCAGGCTGGAGTGCAGTGGCATGATCTCGGCTCACTGCAACCTCAGCCTCCTGGGTTCAAGTGATTCTCCTGCCTCAGCCTCCCAAGTAGCTGGGATTACAGGCGCGCACCACCATGCCCAGCTAATTTTTTGTATTTTTAGTAAAGACGGGGTTTCACCATGTTGGCCAGGCTGGTCTTGAACTCCTGACCTTGTGATCTGCCTACCTCAGCCTCCCAGAGTGCTGGGATTACAGGCGTGAGCCACCACGCCTGGCTTTTTTTTTTTTTTTTTTTTCTAGAGACATGGTCTTGCTACATTACCCAGGCTAGACTCAAACTCCTGATCTCAAGAGATCCTCCTGCTGCCTCAGCCTCTCGAATAGCTAGGACTACAAGTGTGCACCACTATGCCCAGCTTCCTGCAGGTATATTTTATAAAACTTTCTCTAGTGTCTCTGCCACTCCCAGCATGTGCTAGGTACACACAGCCAACTTCCAAACTATACTTGCTGATCAGTTGAGAAAAGTGTTCCTGTCTCATTTAGTTCCCAAGGAGATCAAGGTCAGTTCTCTATGAATGTAAACCAAAAATAAAATTCTAAGGCCCCCCAACCTTCTGAATGGACTTCCTTCTCATCCAGGGCACTGTTAAAATTTAACCTGAGGCTGGTTCAGGCCGTGATGGGAAGTGGGGTTCAGACATACTCATTAAACCCTCACTGGCCTTAACATCAACACAGACTTAGTCTGATAAGAAGCATTTACATCTATCCTCTCAGAAGCCTGCCACCCAGAGGCTTCATCTGCATGATAAAACTTTAGTGTTTATAACCTCTTATCAACATAACCCAGTCTTTTCCTTTCTATTGATCCCAGGTCTTTAGATAAACTCAAGCTATTGTCAACCAGAAAATTTTTAAATCTACCTATAAACTGGAATCCCACCCTCCCCTTCGAGTTGTCCCACCTTTCTGGATGGAACCAATGTATTTCTTAAATGTATTTGATTGAAGTCTCTTGTCTCCCTAAAATGTATAAAACCAAGCTGCACCCTGACCACCTTGGGCACATGTTCTCAGGACCTCCTGAAGGCTGTGTCATGGGCCATGGTCACTCATATTTGGCTCAGAATAAATCTCTTCATATATTTTAGAGAGTTTGGTTCTTTTCATCGACATGAGAAGAGCTGGAGCAAAATTACCTGCTACTTTATAGTTTCTGCAGTAAGATGAAATTTACAGAATACATATATTCTCCACCTATGCATTCATTCATTCTTTCATTCTACCATTCATTTATTCATCAAACATGAATGGTCATTATAATAAAGGGACTTGGCCAGGTGCAGTGGCTCACACCTGTAATCCCAACAACTCAAGAGACTAAGGCAGGAGGATTGATGAGGCCAGAAGTTCAAGACCAGCCCAGGCAACACAGCAAGACCCCAACTCTACAAAAATAATAATAAATAATAAAGGGATTTGGGGAATGCCAAGAGAACCCAGAGAACAGAACGAACACTACTTGAGAGGTAAATCAAAGTAAGGTACATGTAATCAAGGAGGTAATATTTGTGTAAGAATTATCTAACATGAGGTCGGTGGCAAACTGAGTGAACTCCAAGTGTCCTTGGAGTGAATGACATTGTATAGTGTGCAGATAGGCTCTGTTATAAAGAAAGGAAGTTTCTGAGCCTGAGAGAAGGACTAGTTAAAAGAAGGAAAGCACAAGAGCCAGTGTAACACCAAAACCACTCCTACTCGTATTCAAAAACTGTGCGATTTGAGAGTGATGTAATTTCAAAGAAGTCACTTCATCTTAAGAGGTACAAGAGGCCAGGTGTGGTAGCTCACACCTGTAATCCCAGCACTTTAGGAGGCCAAGGCAGGCAGATCATTTGAGTCCTGGGCTACACAAGGAAACTCCATCTCTACAAAAAACACAAAAATTAGCCGGGTGTGGCGGTGCATGCCTGTAGTCCCAGCTACTCAGGAAGCTGAGGTGGGAGGGTCACTTGAACTTGGAAGGCGAAGGTTGCAGTGACCTGAGATTGCGCCACTGCACTCCAGCCTGAGCGACAGAGTGAGACGCCGTCTCAAAAAAAAAAAAAAAAAGAGTTAAACCTTTAGAAACCCAGTAGTCTTCAAATTACGCTCCTTGGAGTTCTAAAAGTTTCAAGGAGGTACAACAGAGGTGGGGTAGGGAGGAAAGAGGGAAGGTTGGAAGGGATACCAACTTCAGTGAGACTAGCTCTGTTTTTGTGTTTTATATATTGAAGCTTCTCTGTAAGATTTCACCTGATTTTTTCTTAAAGATAAATGACAACACACTGAATTCCATCCTCTTCATTTCAGAAACAACTAAATAGGTCAGGTGTGGTTCACGGCTCATGCCTGCAATCCCAGCACTTTGGGAGGCCACAGTGGGAGGATCACTTGAGCCTAGGAGCTCAAGACTAGCCTGGGCAACACAGGGAGACTCTTTCTCTACAAAAAATTAAAAACTTAGTTGGGCATGGTGGCACACACCTGTAGTTCTAGCTACTCAGGAAGTAGCTACTCAGGAGGTGAAAGGATCATTTGAGCCCGGGAGTTCAAGGTTACAATGAGCTATGATTATGTCACTGCACTCCAGCTTGGGTAACAAAGTGAGACAGTGTCTCTAAAATAAAATAATGTAAAAAAAAACAAGTAGAAGCCAAAGAGATTAAGTAACCAAGATCACACAATTTAAGACAAACAGTAAGTCATGCTATTGATTTTGGACATTGCTGTGCAAGTCATGGAGAGCCAGTATTTAAAACACAGTATAAAGTTGAATGTACTTGGCAGGGCGCGGTGGCTCACGCCTGAAATCCCAACACTTTGGGAGGCCGAGGCGGCAGATTACCTGAGGTCAGGAGTTTGAGACCACCCTGGCCAAGATGGTATAACCCCATCTCTACTAAAAATACAAAAATTAGCCAGGCATGGTGGCACACGCTTGTAGTCCCAGCTACTTGGGAGGCTGAGGCAGGAGAATCGCTTGAACCCGGGGGGTGGAGGTTACAGCGAACTGAGATCACGTCACTGCACTCCAGCCTGGGTGACAGAACGAAACTCCATCTCAAAAAAAAAAAAAAGTTGAATGTACTTGTTTACCCAGCATCAAGATGAAGAAAGTCAAAATCGTCGCAGTCCCCAAAGTCCCCTCATGCTCCCTTCCAGCCTCTGTCCCACCAGGGAAACATGATCCCAACTTCTAATACCATAGATTCGTTCTGTCTGCTAAGGTACTTCATATGAATGGAATTATGTAGCCCGTTGTGTCTCTTTTGTTCAGCATTTGGTCTATAAGTTGTGTCATTATAGATCCTGTGTTCTCAAAAAAGGAAAAAAAACACACACACACACACACATATAGTATATGTTCTAGTTAGAGACCCACATTTGGTAGTTATCAGAGATTGGGAATACTTGTAATGTCAGTGAATTACATTATCCAGGGAAAGTACATATAAAAAAATATATAAGAAGACTGGTCTTTTAAGAGGAGAGGAAGACAACTCTGACAAGCAGTATAGGAACAAACTGGATTTTGAGTCTTGAGACAAACACACCAATTATGAAGTGACTGGCATAGTCCAGGTGGTGAGAACTTGAACTTGAGCAATGGAGAAGAGGTATTTCAAAGGTAGAATAGACAGGATTTTCTGGTCAGCTAAATGTGGAAGATGAAAGAGGAGCATCACAGATGGGTTTCTATCTTGGGTGACTGTAGAGCAGTAATATTAACCAAGATAGAAGCTCTAAGAAAGTAGGAATCTAGATATTAGATTTGAGGGATGAACAACAAAATGTTCAATTTTGAGCACACCTAATCTGATCCACCTACAAAGACATCTAGATGGAAGTGTCCAAGATATAGTGAACACTCTATCTAGAAACCCAGATTTCGTAGTCATTAGGGATTGGGAGTAGTTGTAATCATGTGGGTGAATGACATTATCCAGGGAAATCATGTATAAGAAAAAAGAGACAAGAATAGTCAGAAACAGAGGTTCAGAAACACGAGAAATCGGGATACAGAGTTAAGAGTTTCAAGGAGAAAATGGTATTGTCACAGAAGTTAAGACTCAGCTATTAGTGTTGGCAATCTGGAGTGAGTGTAGTTCTAGCACAGTGATGGCTATAGAAGCCAAATTGAAGTAGATTAGGCAATAAATGTTTAAAATAAGGGGAAGAGCCTGGGTGTGGTGCCTCACACCTATAATCCAAGCACTTTGGGAGGCTGAGGCAGGCAGATGACATGAAGTCAGGAGACCGGTCTCACGGTCAACATGGTGAAACCCTGTCTCTATTAAAAATACAAAAATGCGCCGGGCATGGTGGTGAGTGCCTGTGAGGCGGGAGAATAGCTTGAACCTGGGAGGTGGAGGTTGCAGGGAGCCAAGATCGCACCACTGCCCTCCAGCCTGGGCGACAGAGCAAGATTTCCTCTCAAAAAATACATAGGAAAAAAGGTAAGATTTAAGAAAGGGAGGCAGAGTTATTATAAGGCTTTAGTTTTTAGGTGACAGAACAAAACTATTTTTAGACAAAAAAAAGAAATAAAGATTTAATTTACAAAAAGGAGATGGGAGAGAAGTTACCTAATGGAAGTTAGGGCCAGAAAAAGAAGTAGTAGACAGCTCTAGAACACGAAGTTAGAACCTGGGACAGATATTTCTGTCTCTAAGAATGAAGTTCAGGAAGGGGAGTAAGAATGAACAAAGGCATACATAAGTTTAGAAGCAGAAGAAAGAGCGATTGAGAAGGTACAGATTTTCTTCTACCATTTTTTTTTCTTTTAGAGATATATAATCTTTTTGAGACAGTCAATGTTGCCAAGGCTGGAGTGCAGTGGCATAATCACGGTGCACTGCAGCCTCGACCTCCCAGGCTCACGTGATTCTCCCACCTCAGCTTTTCAAGCGGCTGGGACCACAAGAGCACGCTGCCAAGCCCGGCTAATTTTTAAAATTTCTTATAGAGGTGCAGTCTCCCTATGTTGCCCAGGCTGGTCTCAAACTCCTAAGCTCAAGTGATCCTCCCACCTCAGCCTCCCAATGCAAGCTTTCTTTGTCTCTCTTCTTTAGGCTCAGACAACAGTCCAAAGGGCAGAGCTAAGGACAGACTCCTTGATCTCGTAGGCCCTCAAGTGTCTAAGCACAAATTTCTCTCCTCTTCAAGCCATAAAAGAGAAAGACACATGCAAATCAGTTCCCATGACTCAACCAGATATGTGCATTTCAGCTTGCATTCAAATCAGCTTAGGCCCTACACATCAAAACATTTGTTAAAATGAATGAATGTGAAGGAAAACATTCTAGGCAGAGGTTACTCTGCAAAAGCAGAGTAACTAGTGTGGTCTGGAAAAATAGAAGATTACTTACTCACATGAAATAGTGAAGGGCTGGCCTGGCACAGTGGCTCATGCCTGTAATCCTAGCACTTGGGAGGCCGAGGCAAGTGGATCACCTTGAGCTCAGGAGTTCAAGACCAGCCTGGGCAACACAGTGAAACCCCTCTCTACCAAAAATAAAAAAAATCAGCCAGGCGAGGTGGCATGTGCCTGTGGTCCCAAGTACTCAGGAGGCTGAGGAGGGAGGACTGCTTGAGTCTGTAAGATGGGGGTTGCAGTGAGTCAAGATCGTGCCACTGTACTCCAGCCTGAGTAACAGAGTGAGACCCCATCTCAAAAAAAAAAAAAAAAGTGAAAGGCTAACAACAATGCAAGGAACCATAACAATAGATACAAAAATAAGTACAATGTTAATGCCTAGCTGATACAAATGTCAATTAGCATAAGATCCTTAAAACAACCTGAAAAATTAAACATTAAAAAATATATATATAATAGAAAGTGAAAGTCCATTACCAAGAAAACAATCATTAGCAGTTTTGAATAGATTGTTCCAGATATTTCCTATTTATACACTAGCAAATACCACTTTTACACAAATGAAGTCATACTTCATTGTTCTGCTTTTTTCATGTTACCAATTTTTCACAGTGAATAAGTAATCTTCTATTTTTCCAGACCACACTAGTTACTCTGCTTTTGCTTGTACTGTAACCACTGCCTAGAATGTTTCCCTTCATGTTCATTTTAACAAATGTTACAATTAATGCTACAATAAACATTCTTCATACATGTGTGTAAATATAGGTCTGTGGACAGATATGTGCTTCCAAAGATAAATTCTAGAAGTGGAAGTAGCAGGTTAGAGAGCATGAACATTCTAATTTTAATAGATAATACCAAACAGCCTAAATTGGACTTTACCTATAAAGTCTCTCAATACAGGCTGATAGCATAATACCAATAAGATGCGGTTTAGAGACACAACCCTCTAACTCTGACTTAATTCAAAAGACATTTTAGAGTACCTATACCAGTAATATACTCCATTTCCTCTAAGCAATTTTCCACAAACATTATTTCCCTTAACTAAGCTTTCCTCTCCAAATAAATGTAATTTATAAGCACATGCTCCACAAAAATCTCAAACATGAAAAACTTACTAAGCGGACTCCACAGACAGGGGAGGAGGGGTGAACCTGAAGACCCAGTCCTGATTACCACAGTTAACAGTTTGGTATTTGTTTTTCCAGATTTATTTTATGCATATATAAACAAACATGTTATTTTTCAAACCCAAATAAAATTATGCTAGCCAATTAATATTCTATTATTTTCATTACACATATTACAGATATCCTTCCATAGCAATATATAATACATCAATCATATCCTTTTAAATAGGTGTACAGCATTTTATTATATGGATATACCAGAAATTAAGCTATCTTCCACTGGTGGACATTAAGACGGTTTCCAGTTTTTTGCCTAACAAACCATACTACTTTGAACATCCTCATCCTCATATATATACTGAGTATTTAGGTAGGACAATACTTCTAGAAGTAGAATTAATGGGTATCAAGTTGCTTTCCAAAATTTATTAATAGTACCATTTTATATTCCCATTGGTGTGTAAACATACTTGTTTCTGTATAATCTTGCCAATATTTGGTATGAACAATTATTTTATGTATTGCCAACCTGAGAGGCAAATTTTTTCTAAATTTTCATTTCTCTGATCATTAGGGAACTCAGCATTTTTCATATATCTATCATGTATATTTCTCCTATGAATTGCCTATTCATTTATTTTGCCCATTTTCTATAGCATGCTGTTCAATGGAAATGCAACACAAACTACATAATGTAATTTTAAATGTTCTAGTAGCCACATTTTAAAAAGTAAAATTAGGCCAGGTGCAGTGGCTCACGCCTGTAATCCCAGCACTTTGGGAAGCTGAGGCAGGTGGATCACCTGAGGTCAGGAGTTCAAGACCAGCCTGTCCAACATGGTAAAACTCCATCTCTACTAAAAATATAAAAATTAGCTGGGCGTGGTGGCGGGCACCTGTAATCTCAGCTACGCAGGAAGCTAAGGCAGGACAATCGCTTGAATCTGAGAGGCAGAGGTTGCAGTGAGCCCAGATTGCGCCAGTGCATTCCAGCCTGGATAATAGAGTGAGACTACATTTCAAAAAAATAAATAAAAAGTAAAAATAAACGGGTAAAATCTGTATTAATATATTTTAATTAGTTCATATCTAAATATTATCACCTCAACATATGATCAGTATAAAAATTCTTATGACATTTTACATTTTTGTACTGTCTTCAAACTCCAGCTTTTACACTTATTATACACTTAGAGTACTTCTCAATATAGAACTAGCCACATTTCAAGTGCTGATTAACCACATATTAAAGGCTACTGTATGGGATAGTGTGGTTCTATAGGATCTTTATATGTGAGAGCTCAGATTTCCCCCATTTCAGCCTTTTTTCCCCTATGTTTTTATTTTTACTGTACAAATAATTTAAAAGCAAAGGCTTCAAATAATGTACAATTATGAAGAGCAAAACATGACAGTCATTCTTTATTACCTCACTCACAGTACCATCTCCAAGATAACCATATCAGCCACTGAAGTACATTCTCACAGCCTATTTTTACATATTATATAAACGTATATATACCCATATGTATTTTACATTGTCTAAACCTTCTTCTAAGATAATACCCATCAGAAATACCACATTCGATTCTACATAATATTCAACAGGATGGGTAGATCAAAATTTATTTTTTAATAGACACATAATACATTAATACTCTCATTGTAAAAACTTAAAACATACAAATAAAGCCAATTCTTTTGACCATCCTTCCCCATCAGTCTCTGAAAATACCCAGTGCTGTTAACAACATGACCTGTATCCACGGATCTTTTTCTATGCATTACAATAATAGATATTATATTAATAGTAAGCTTTTACCTGTAACATATGCTATAAATGCTTTTAATCTAGCTTGTTTGTCTTTTAATTTTAGGGCATCTTTCATTATACCAATTTAAATTTGTTGGTCTTTCTTTTATGACTAGTGAGTGTCTTGTCATACAAAGAAAGGCCTGTCTCATACCAGGTCTTATACCAGAAAATTGTCCTATATTTTATTCTAGTACCTCTATGATTTAAGGGTTTTATGTATATATTTGATCTACGTGGATTTTATTTTGGAGTGAAGAAATGGATATGAGTCCAAATTGTTTGCGCTACCCTTCTACCACCACCACTTGCGATGTCTAGCAGTGTCTACCCTTCTTATCTCTATGACCTCTAAGACTGTATCCCAGCCCACAAAGATGGAAAGGCAGAAGGCTACGTAGAGTATAGCACAGAAAGGAGGGTGGGGGATTAACTGTAGAGAGGAAAAACTTGACAAACACTACTTTAGCCAGCTGGTCAAGGTCAACATCAACAGTCATAAAGCATGCAGACAGTATGTGCTCTTGATAAGATGAAAGTATCATTTTGCCTTTGTCATCTTCCTCCTAAAAATTCACTAACTTAGTCCAAGCATGACAAATCATCAAATTCCAATATACTTACAATATATTTATATATCTCCTACAATATCTGTCCAGTAACCTCTCAAAACTGTCAAAGTCATCAAAAACAAGGAAAGTCTAAGGAACTGTCACAACTAAGAGGAGCCTAAGGAGACATGACAGCTAAATGTAATGTGGTGACCTGGAACAGAACAAGGATATTAAATAAAAACTAAGGAAACTGAAATAATGCATAGACTTCAGTTAATCATAATACAATCAGTATTGTTCATTATTCCTAACATATGTACCATACTGATATAAGATATTAATAATAGTGGAAACTATGTGTGGGGTACATGAAGGGATATATGGGAACTCTGTTCTACTCGCTCCATTTTTCTGTAAATTTAAAACTGTTTAAAAAATAAGCCTATCAATTTTATAAAAAGCAAATACCTCAGAAGTAGAAGAGTATAGGTAAATATGTGCCTCTAATTTTGACCACATTCATTAAAAACAAAATACCCACTTGATCCACATGGAAATTTATCTTTTTTTTTTTTTTTTTTTTTTGAGATGGAGTCTCGCTCTGTCACCTAGGCTGGAGTGCAGTGGCATGATCTCGGCTCACTGCGACCTCCACCTCCCGGTTTCAAGTGATTCTCCTACCTCAGCCTCCCGAGTAGCTGCTACTACAGGCACCCGCCACCACGCCCAGCTAATTTTTTTTGTACTAGTAGAGACAGGGTTTCACCATATTGGCCAGGCTGGTCTTGAACTCCTGACCTTGTGATCTGCCGACCTCAGCCTCCCAAAGTGCTAGGATTACAGGCGTGAGCCACCGCAACCAGCAGAAATTTATCTTAAGAAAATATCTAAAGAACAAAAATAGATTGCAAGGATGCATAGTACAGTTTTACCAATATTAGAAAAAATACAAATAAGCTAATTTATCCAAAAATAGAGAAAGAAGCAAAAAATTAAAGTTACATTCACTCAGAATATTATTTACCTATTACAAATGACAATTTCAAGGCTATAGGAGATAGGATATGTTTATTATATAATGTAATTAAAAAAAAAATACAAATTGTAGGCCAGGCACTGGGGCTCACGCCCGTAATCCCAGCCCTTTGGGAGGCTGAAGCAGGTGGATCACCTGAGGTCGGGAGTTCGAGACCAGCCTGACCAACATGGAGAAACCCCGTCCCTGCTAAAAATACAAAATTAGCCATGCGTGGTGGCACATGCCTGTAATCCCAGCTACTCGGTAGGCTGAGGCAGGAAAATCGCTTGAACCCAGAAGGCGTAGGTTGCGGTGAGCTGAGATCGCACCATTGCACTCCACCCTGAGCAATAAGAGCGAAATGTCATCTCAAAAAAAAAATTGTAGAATATGAATGTAAATTTGGGTTTTCTTTTTTTTTTAATCTTACATGAACCACATATACCAAAATGTTAAACAATTAAAAACAGATAAGGCTAAACACGGTGGCTAATGTTTGTAATCCTAGCGCTTTTGGGAGGCCAACGCGGGAGAATCATTCGAGGCTGGGAGTTCAAGACCAGCCTAGGAACATAGTGAGACCCCATCTCTACCAATAATTTTAAAATTAGCTGGGTGTGATGGGTGGTGTGCATCTATAGTCCTAGCTACTCAGGAAACTGAGGTGGGAGGATCACTTGAACCCAAGAGTTCGAGATTACAGTGAGCTATGAACATGAGACTGAACTCCAGCTGGACAACAGTGAGACCCTATATCTATAAAAATAAATAAAAATTAAAAGTGAAAAACAAATACTAAGATCTCAGTAAAGATCTTACTCTTCAGTAAAGAGAAGGCTATGGTAAACTTACAACTAGTTTTTCAAATACTATGATTTTTTTTTTTTTTTTTTTTTTTGCCCAAGCTGGAGTGCAGTGGCGCGATATCAGCTCACTGCAACCTCCACCTTCTGGGTTCAAGCGATTCTCCTGCCTCAGCCTCCCAAGTAGCTGGGATTACAGGTGCCTGCCACCATGCCCAACTAATTTTTTGTACTTTTTGTAGAGACATTTTAGTAGAGACAAAGTTTCACCATGTTGGCCAGGCTGGTCTCGAACTCCTGACCTCAAGTGATCCACCCGCCTCAGCTTCCCAAAGTGCTAGGATTACAGGCATGAGCCACAGCACCCGGCAGCCCTTGTCTATTTTTCAGTCTATTATAAACAATAATAAATAACAAGTCTCTTTTACTAAAAGCATTTAACTGAAATTACCATTTCATCTCAAATCCAGTCATGCTACATCCAGTGCTAAAAACTACAGAGGAAAAGTACACTACAACAAACACACCCTATTGCAGGGGCAGACAGAGCCTGGCATCTAAGCTGATGCCATACCCCATAAGGGCCTGCATGGGAATAACTTTTATCTGTGATTGGTAGTTTCACATCTCAACCAAAAGGCTAACAGAATAAAAGAGTAAAGAAATTCAAAGTAGCAGCTAACGGGCAGAAAAGCATTCGTCCATTTTCCTATGCTATCAAGCCAATTTGAAGTTTTTTAAAAAATTACCAATATACTTCAATTACTACAAATAAAGTATACTATCGCTGCAAAAAAAATAGCACTTTTGAATATAATATCAAAAGAATCATCCAAGAAAGCAAACATAAAATAATAATAAATGTGGGCCAGTTGCAGTGGCTCACCCCTGTAATCCCAGCACTGCTGGAGGCCAAGGCAGGATGACAGCTTGAGCTCAGGAGTTTGAGACCAGTCTGAGCAACATAGTGAGATTCTGTCTCTACAACAACAATAATCATCATCATCATCATCATTATCATCATCATCAATATGCAATGAGAATTTTTTTAAAGCAAACTCCAAAATCTAACAGGGAAAAAAATTACCAGGAAAAAATAAAATAGAGATATTGTAACATGGAATTTGTTACACTAAAACCAATAGCATACCCAGAAAACATCCTTCACTCACAACACCACCTAACCAAAGCAAGGTCTCACTTCCCCCAAATATTTCAAACCACAAATTTACAAATTCTTTTCATCAACCTGAATTATTTAATTTGAGTGGTCATAGACTTTTTTATTTTAATCTGATAAAACCTATGGTTGTTCTCCCTGGAAAAACACAAATGTACAAAATATGGCACATAATTCTGAAGGTTTCACACATCCAAAGCCAACTGTAGACTTTCAGACAGTTCATGTGTTCCATAGCTTAAATGTTTAATGATAACATACACAAACCCTCATTCTTAAAAAAAGATAATGAAGTGGGAAAGACCCTTCCAATTATGTAATCCACTCATTCCCAAACTATTTTTTTAAAGGAATAAAAGAATGGCTACTCCATAGGCCGAGCAGCAGCCTCATTCCCAAACTATTCTAACCATCACCCACCTAAGTAAGACAAGAGATCCAGCCTACCTACCTCCTCCCATTTTCTAGTGCAAAAATAACTCCCTAAGGAAGAATTGTAGCAATGTAACAAGTACACAAGAGCAAAACGGTCCACAAAAATTTAAATGTAACATTAATTCTACAATTGTATTAATCCAAAAATAACAGCAACTGGAACCACAGCCAATTTGAGACAACACCACTGATGTAGTGAAAATATCTTCTGAGTGTGGGCATGCATAGTACTAATTTTCTAGTGCTGCCAAAGCATGGTATAGCTGACAGATTTCTTAGAAGAAAACTAAACTAGAGCCCTCGGTAAGTTCTAGAAACCAGCTAATTTTAGTTGTGAATACTAAATTTCAGTAATCCTTAGTAACTCAGATTATTGGTAGGTAGCCTATTCTAATACATAAATATCAGAGGTTATGGGAATGGAATAACAATAGCCCCTGAGAACTGAGGAGACGGCTTGTATTTCTGGTTCATGATCCATTAGGAAAAGCTTCTGATCTAGTGAGTGTCTTGGACCATACTGAGGAAGCATTAATCTAAGCCAATAATTTTCAACAATTTTTCCACTGTGATTCTGAGTAATGGCTCACCAATAGTATAAAATTAACCTCCTAAACTGGAACCCACATACATTGCTGGTGGGAATATAAAATAGATCAACTGCTTTGGAAAACAATTCAGAATTTCCTCAAAATGTTAAACATAGGTTACCATGTTAAGTCAGCAATTCCACCCCTCAGTATGAACCCAAGATAAATAAAAACATGTCCCAAAACCTGTACACAAATGCTCACAGCAGCATTATTCACAATAGCCAAAAAGTAGAAGCAACCGAGTGGAAGCAAATGTCCATCAACTACAGATGGATGAATGAATAAACAATAAACAAAATGTGGTATATCCATATAATCCATAAAATATTATTTGGCCATAAAAAGGAATGAAGTACTGATCTATGCTATAACATTGATGAATCTTGAAAACACTATGGTAAGTAAAAGAAGTGAGTCACAAAAGACCATATATTGTATAATTCCATTTATATGAAATGTCTAGGATAGGCAATTTCATAGACACAGAAAGTAGACTAGTGGCTACCTAGAGCTAGCGGTGTTGAGGGAGATGGAAAGTGACTGCCATTGGGTATAGGAGGTTCTTTTAAGAACGACGAAAATGTTCTAAAATTAGATAGTGATACTGGTTGCACAAGTCTGTGAATATACTAAAAAACACTGAACTGTAAACTTTAAAAGGGTGAATTTTACAATATGTATCTCAATAAAGCTGTTTTTAAAAAATCTATTCACGTGACATACAAGGTGTTTTAGGCTCTATCTTCCGCCTACCCTACCAGGTATTTCAACCTCCCCACCTCCACCTCCACTTGATCTTATTCCCATGCCTCCTCTCTTTGCACCTGTGGAACTACCTGCCTTCTGAGTGACACTTCTACTAATAATAGCTTCCTTTGCCACAGTCCCATTTTGTCTTGTATTATCTCATTAAACTACATACCAGCTAGTATTGTTACTTTTGTTTTCACGCCTGCCCCGCTTCTATTAGACTGTGAGCTCCTGAATGGCTCTTTAACTTCATATACCTAGTGCCCAGCAGTCACTCACATGGTAGGCACTAAAATATTCTTTAATAAGCACAGGTTAGCATTCTTTCAACTGCACAGAAGACAAACCCAGCAACTTGAGTTTGAATCCCAGTGCAAGTACTTCCTAGCTTTGTGGACTTGCACATGACATAGCTTCAATTTCCTAACCAAATAATGTGGATACAGTAGACCCCCTTATCTGCAGTTTCACTTTCTGAAGTTTCAGTTACCTGTGGTCAACCATGGTCTCAAAATACAAAATGGATAATTCCAGAAATAAACAATTCATAAATTTTTAATTGTGCACCATCCTGAGTAGCATGGTAAAATCCTGCATTGCCCGCATCTGTCCCAACCAGGATGAAAACCATCCCTTTGTCCAGGGTGTATCCACTGTGTCTATGCTGCCTGCCCATTAGTCACTTAGTAGCTGTCTCAGTTATCAGACCGACTGTCACAGTATCACAGTGCTTGTGTTCAAGTAACCCTTATTTTACTTAATAATGACCCCAAAGTGCAAGAGTAGTGAGGCTGGCAATTCGGATATGCCAAGGAGAAGCCACTTCCTTCAAGTGAAAAGGTGAAAGTTCTCAACTTAATATAGAAGGGAAAAAATTGTATGCTGAGGTTGCTAAGATCTACAGTAAGAACAAGTCTTATATCTGTGAAATTGTTAACAGTATATTGTTATAATTGTTCAATTTTATTATTATTAATCTCTTACTGTGCCTAATTTATAAATTAAACTTTATCATAGGTATGTATATATAGGAAAAAACATAGTGTATATAGGTTTCTGTACCATCCATGGTTTCAAGCAACCACTAGGGGTTTTGGAATGTATTCCTTGCAGACAAGCAAAGTACTACTGTAATCGTACCTAAATGCCAGGTTATTTTAAGGCTTAGATGTCATGTCTGGAAAACATCTGGCACATAGAAGGTGTCCATAAATTATGATTATTACAACAATTATTTCAACATTATTTTAATTATAATCACTAATCAACTTTTAGTTGTAATCACAATCACTAATCACTAATCTAATTTGTTTTACTGAAACAAATTAGAGTTGTGCCAATTATTAATAAAAGGACATGTTTTTCTCACTTTAATCAATATTTGAGAAAAAAGTTATCATTTCTATCTAGAGGCTTAGGGTCCCAAATATACAAAGCATTAAGACCTAAAAGCCTCAAAGAGGATAACTTCTCTATACAAACTTAGTTCTTAATTCTAGTTCTGCAATTTAGCAACCTCAGTTTAGATTTTTAAACACAAATTATAAGCTCAGATTTTTATAAATATTGAGTTTAGCCTTCAAAAAAATCAACCAATAAGCCAGGAGACATAAAAGGACAGGAATAGCAAACTAATACTGAAGTGGTTAGTACTCAAATTCTATTGAAGATTTAAATCAAACCAATTTTTGAAGAATAGTCAACAACTCTGAACAAGACAATTCACCCACACAAAGGGGGATAAAAATACCTAAGAATAGCTTGTGACTCAGCCTGCATTCCTATAAGGGGTCCCAGGGGGACTGATAATATTTAGCCTATTGTCATCTGTCTCATATCAGAACTAAATATTACAGCAAAACTATTTACTTGACATGAATAAAAAGTACAGAGGGAAAGAAATTCAGACAGATGCTTCACTTTCAAGTAAAACATCACCTCTTTGAAACAAAGACAACTTTTAAGTTTTGAAGCCATACAAGAAAACAAAAGAAAGAATAAGCAGATTCTATATCATCTATATAACAAATATTTAAAACTTCCTTGAAAACAAACTTAAAAGGTAAATGGGGAAAAATCACAACACATGATAAGCAGTTGATATTTTTAATGTACATAGGGCTATTAAAATAGATAACGAAAACACTAAGACCTCAAATAAATAATCTACGAAAGAAGAAACAGAAGAAATAAAAGTAGTTAATAAATGTTAACATCACTAATAATTAAGAAAACGAGGCTACCCACAGTGGCTCATGCCTGTAATCCCAGCACTTTGGGAGGCTGAGTGGGGGCGAATCGTCTGAACTCAGGAGTTTGAGGCCAGCCTGGGAAACATGGTGTAAACCTGCCTCAATAAAAACTACAAAAAAATTAGTTGGTCCCAGCGGGAGGCTGAGGTGGGAGGATGGCTTGAGCCCAGGAGAAGGAGGTTGCAGTGAGCTGAGATGGCAGTGAGCTGAGATCCCGCCACTGCACTCCAGCCTGGGCAACAGAGCCAGACCCTGTCTCAAAGACAAAACAAAACAAAACACTGGCCAATACCCAGGGCTAGCAAAGGTGAATTAAATAGGGTGCTTGCAGGTACAGCCCATGGGAATACGTATTGGTATCACTCTTCAGAAGGCACTGTGAAAACATATATCAAGAGTCCCACCAACATTCATATCCTATAAAGCAATAATTTCATTTCTGGGAATCTGTCATAAGGAAATAACAGTAAATGTGGGAAATGCTTTAATTACAAAGATATGGCAGCATTAGTAATCATTGAAAAAAACTAAAAATGAATGTCCAAAAATAAAGGAATATACTAAGCCAAGTATCATGCTTCCACTTAAAATCAAATTCATATGATATGTGAATTAAATCTCAATAAAGCTATTTTGTGATCAAGTTCAGTTAGACCACATAATAACATGGAAACTGCTTATGTTCTTACAATTTAAAACTTACATTTTGATATAAATGTGCATATTTATTATGAAAATTAAAACAGCAGCCATCAATCATCAATATTTACTAAGTGCCAAGCCCTACACTACAAGTTGTTACATGTTATCATGGTTACCTCATTATCACTGATACCATCACCAGGCCCATCCTGGAAGGGTCTCAGGCCCAAGGCCATCACCAACTGTGGGGCTGGCCCAAGATAAACCACACTTTAAAGAAGGCTTCACTAAACATTTTCATAGGCCCCTTGAGAATGTTAAAAACAAATTTGGAAATTGAGCCCAGTGGGATTGTGGGTCTGTACTACCCTACTTTTCAGCCTTCTTATATAGATTATTCCGATGGTAAGATTAAAAATTAAGGGCAAAAGGCTAATTTCCTTTCCAGTCACGGTGTAAAACAAAGACCAAAATAAGAACTATGTTAGGTTAGTTTGAAATTTCTCACTGAACCAAGTTAAAACAACAGGTAACATTAGGCACTTACACTAAGCAGAAGTCACTGTGCTAAGCACTTTATATTACATATAACAACACTAGGAACTAGCTAATATTTCCCCATTTCACACATAAGGAAACAGAAGCTGAAGAGAATTAAAGTAACTTGCCCAAGATTATACAGTTATTTGGTGTCAGAGCTGGAAGCAGGTCTAACTTCAGAGGCTGTACTCTTATCCTCTATGGTTATGATGAAAATAAATGAAATTTTTATTAAAATCACATATACTTTATCTAAAATGAATACGCATTCGTGAAGAAAATGATCTTAAAAATATGAAACAGTTAAATAAAACAAATGTTTACCGTCTGGTAATAGTCCCCTAATCCACTAAATGTCTGCCATAATCCACTGCTGAATAGCTCCACAAGTAAATAAATCATTTAATGTCCTGATGTATCTATGAAATTATATTTTAAGTGAACCTTTTGAAACAATACTATACATTCTGCAAATGAAATATGCTGCCCTCTTGGAGCTGTGAAAATACATATTTCTTGATCTATTAACTGTCCTAATTCTGTTCAGTTTCCTCCCTTCCTCTCCCACTTCCTCTTTGCTCTCATATCCTTTAAGACCAGTTCAGTTCCTCCTCCTCAAGAATACCTATATTCACACTTTACCCAAGAGAACTCTAACATTAGTTTCTGCGCTCCACAGCTGTAGGATGTTACAAAATCCAAAAAATGAACTCAAGTAAAAAATACAGTATTTCTGATGTACCTTCAACTTTAGATCTATCCACTTACAGAATTAATTATAAACATTCTTATTTTTCTACTTCACACTTGGAATCCTGTCTTTAAAATCAGCACACAGTAACCAAAACAGCATGGCACTGGTACCAAAACAGACATATAAGCCAATGGAGCAGAACAGAGACCTCAGAAATAACACCACACATCTACAACCATCTGATCTTCAACAAACAAGACAAAAACAAGCAATGGGGAAAGGATCTCCTATTCTGTAAATGGTGCTGGGAAAATTGGCTAGCCATATGCAGAAAACTGAAACTGGACCACTTCCTTACACCTTATACAAAAATTAACTTGAGATGAATTAAAGACTTAAATATAAAATCCAAAACCATAAAACCCTAGAAGAAAACCTAGGCAATACCATTCAGGACATAGGCATGGGCAAAGACTTCATGACAAAAATGCCAAAAGCAATTGCAACAAAAGCCAAAATTGACAAATAGGATCTAATTAAACTAAAGAGCTTCTGCACAGCAAAAGAAACTATCATCAGGCTGGGTGCAGTGGCTCATGCCTATAATCCCAGCACTATAGGAGGCCGAGGTGGGAGGATCACCTGAGGTCAGGAATTCCAGACCAGCCTGGCCTGCATGGTGAAACCCTGTCTCTATTTTTAAAAAATTACAAAAAGGCCAGGCATAGTGGCTCACATCTGTAATCCCAGCACTTTGGGAGGCCGAGGCGGGTGGATCACCTGAGGTCAGGAATTTGAGACCAGCCTGGACATGGTGAAACCCCATCTCTACTAAAAATACAAAAATTAGCTGGGCATGGTGGCAGGCGCCTGTAATCCCAGCTACTCAGGAGGCTGAGGCAGGAGAATCACACTTGAACCCCGGAGGCTGAGGTTGCAGTGAGCCAAGATCGCACCATTGCACTCCAGCCTGGGGGACAAGAGCGAGACTCCATCTCAAAAAAAAAAAAAATAGCTGGACGTGGTGGCACATGCCTATAATCCCAGCTACTTGGGAGGTGAACCTGGTAGGCAGAGATTGTGGTGAGCCAAGATGGCACCACGGCACTCCAGCCTGGGAGACAGAGCAAGACCCTGTCTCAAAAAAAAAAAAAAAAAGAAAGAAAAAAAGAAACTATCATCAGAGTGAACAGGCAACCCACAGAACGGGAGAAAATTTTTGCAATCTATCCATCTGACAAAGGTCTAATATCCAGAATTTACAAGGAACTTAAACATATCTACAAGAAAAAAAAAACCCCACCAAAAAGTGGGCAAAGGATATGAATAGACACTTCTCAAAAGAAGACATTTTTGAGGCCAACAAACATGAAAAAAGGCTCAACATCACTGATCATCAGAGAACTGCAAATCAAAACCACAATGATGGCCGGGTGCAGTGGCTCAAGCCTGTAATCCCAGCACTTTGGGAGGCCAAGGCGGGTGGCTCATCTGAGGTTGGGAGTTCTAGACCAGCCTGGCCAACATGTCTCTACTAAAAAGACAAAAATTGGCAGGGCGTGGTGGCAGGCGTCTGTAATCCCAGCTACTCAGGAGGCTGAGGCAGAAGAATCACTTGAACCCAGGAGGCGGAGGTTGCAGTGAGTTGGGATCGCGCCATTGCACTCCAGACTGGGCAACAAGAGTGAGACTCCGTCTCAAAAAAAAAAAAACACAATGAGATACCATTTCATGCCAGTCAGAATGGTGATTATTAAAAAGTCAGGAAAACAATAGATGCTGGCAAGTCTGTGGCGAAATGGAACGCTTTTACACTGTTGCTGGGAATGTAAATTGGTTCAACCATAGTGGAAGATAGTATGGCAATTCCTCAAGGATCTAGAACCAGAAATATCATTTGACCCAGCAATCTCATTAATGGGTATATACCCAAAGGAATAGAAATCATTCTACTCTAAAGACACATGCACACGTATGTTTACTACAGCACTATTTACAATAGCAAAGACACCAAACCAACCCAAATGCCCGTCAATGATAGACTGGATAAAGAAAATGTGATATACATACACCATGGAATACTATGCAGCCATAAAAAGGAATGAGATCATGTCCTTTGCAGGGACATGGACGAAACTGGAAGCCATCATCCTCAGCAAACTAACACAGGAACAGAAAATCAAACACCCTATGTTCTCACTCATAAGTGGGAGTTGAACATTGAGAACACATGGACACAGAGGGGAACAACACACACCAGGACCTGTTGTGGGGGGGCAATGAGGGAAGGGGACTTAGAGGACGGGTGAATAGGTGCAGCAAACCACCACGGTGCACGTATACCTATGTAACAAACCTGTACGTTCTGCACATATATCCTGTTTTTTTTGTAAGAAATAAAAAAAAATCGGCACACAAGAAAGTCTGCCTTTCTTCAAAAACAGTTTTTTCACAAATTTTTTCCATAAATAAAAAAGGTACTAAAAAAACTTGAATCCAAAAAAAGAAAAAGAAAATGCACCGTTAGATGGTAATAAATATATCACATTTTTGGTAATGTAACTCGTTTATTCTGAATCATTTCTGGAACTTGTTAATATAAATGTTTTACAAGTAAATACAATATGTAAAAATGCTACTTAATGGACTAATATGTACTTTCACTCATTCACTAAACACATATTTTTTACTGAATGCCCATATAACTTTTTTTTTCTTTTTTTTGTTTGAGACGGAGTCTCACTCTGTCGCCTAGGCTGGAGTGCAGTGGTGCGATCTCGGTTCACTGCAACCTCCGCCTCCCGGGTTCAACGATTCTCCTGCCTCAGCCTCCTGAGTACCTGGGACTACAGGCGCACGCCACCATGCCAGGCTAATTTTTTGTATTTTTTAGTAGAGACAGGATTTCACCTTATTGGTCAGTCTCAAACTCCTGACCTGGTGATCCGCCCTCCTCGGCCTCCCAAAGTGCTGGGATTACAGGCATGAGCCAGGGCACCCGGCACATAGATAACTCTTTTTTAAATGTATGAACCAAGATGACTCTACCAGATAAGGCACAGGTGCTGCAGTTAAAAGGATCTTGGTTTGAAACCTGGCTATTGTACTTACTAGCTCAGAGACCTAAAGTAGTCAAACTTCAGGTTAACATTTCACTTACCTTTTTGATGGGAAGATAATAATTACTCCTAGGGCCTTAGTGAGCTTTAAATGATTATGTAAAACACTTAGCATAGAGTCTAACATGCAGTTACGTGCTCGATAAATGACAACCATGGTAAACATATTTTATACTGAAGAAAGTATAGTTGAAGGAGACAGCCAATATGTGACCCTTTTGTCTTACTAAAGATGGAAATTTGTGAAACTCTACATTAAAACTAAAAATCCTAAGGTTACATGATTTTCTACTTTTTAAAAAAGATATACTAACTACATAAGGTTAAAGGATTTTTTAAAATAAGAAAGAAAAAAAGAAAAGCTTCTTGAAAGCTGCTGAGTTTGGGTGATGGGTACATGCTATTTTTGTGAAAATACAAATTTTTTAACACTATTAATCCAATCCCCAAAACATGCCTAACACACCTCCTCATATTCAGGAGAGATCAAGATTTTAGCCTTGAGATGTACCGAACAATGGTAACTCCCTGCTTAGTAATTCTGTACAGGTCAAGTTTTCTTGGACGAGTTTACCTTTCATTACAAAGGTGGGCACAGGGAATAGTTATCAATGCATGGAAGGGTGAAAAAATGCAAGCTTTTCAACTGCTTATTAATATTACATCAAAATAGCAGCAATGCACATTTTTTCCACGTTTTCAAAAACATAAAATACATCCACTTTATTTACTTTTGAAATTACAAGAGAGTCACAGGCACAGCCAAAAAAAGCTAAAGGAAAACACATCAGAGTTGTCAGTATCTTTAAATTTGGAAGGACGTCATTATTAATTCGCGTAAATGTTTTATGCGATGTTTCTAGGTAGCTTTTAGGTTTTATCACTGATTAACAATATAGCAAACCAGCACAGGGAGAGAGGCAATTTTTCGAAACGCTTAAGAAGCTTTAAACTACAAGAGCTATGCTACCTAAACTGAGCTCACTAACAACGTAAAATTTCAAGTCACACCTTGCCTATTTCTGAGTAAGCAAGCAAACACTAGTGAGACAAACTAGAAGCATGGAGCAAAGCAAGTCATTTCTATGCTAACCTTAATTCCTATCGTAAAGGGGTTGGCTCCATCAAAAAATATTCCTATTTCAGTATTAACACAAGTTTCAAATAAAGCACACTTGCCATTGGTAATTCTAGAGCGACAAGGCGCATAATTAATAAATCCAAACGGAGCATCTTTCTATAGAATACAAAGCCATCTGCAGTTTCAGCCTCGGTTTACCCACTCACTATGCATATGCAGACGTCTTTAAAAATAAATAAATAAATACACAAATAAACTTTATCTGGCCTGAGAGATTACATCTCTCGGTGCTTCCTGTATATTCTGGAAGTCAATAACGCTGAAGGTAAATTTAACATTTCCAACTCCGGAGGAACGCGAGCGGTAGACGCCAAGCATCCGCCCACTGTCCTCTCGTGACTCGGGCTACTTTGACGCACCGGGATGCGGCTCACCTGACATTCGGCACCAACCCTTGCCAGGAAGGAAAACCAACTCCGCGAAAATAAAATGGGTCCCCGAGGAGGCGTGCGGGTGCCCCCAGAGCTCTCTTCTGCTCACACCCCGAAAGCGAGGGGGCCACGCCACCCCCGACCCTCGCCGGCGTCCGCCACCTGCCAGACGAGGCCGCGGCCAGGGACCCGGGCTCGGCCGCAAGGAAGGGGCAGCCCAGCCCAGGCCCCCTCGGCGTCTGTCCCGGCCCGGCAGCAGAGGAAGGAACCCGGGGCCGGAGGTTTCCGCCCCGCACGGCCGAGCCCGCCAGGGGCCTAGCTCGGGGGCCGCCCGTACTCCCGAGGACCCGTCCCCATCGTGCGGAGCGCACAGCCGCCTCAGCCCGACCCGCAGAGCCTCCGGGCAGCGGGCGCGGCGCCCGCACCTGCCCCGCGCCTTGCTGCAGCCCCGCTAGCGGCTTCACCCACCTGGCGCCCTCGCCGCGCCTCCCGCTCGTCACAGCGCGACTCCGCGTCCCTCAGCACCGGCAGCCTGGGCGCGGGCAGGCGCGGGGAGACCCTGCTCTGCCGCCGTCGCCGCCACTGCAGCTGGCTTGGTCGTCAGGCCGCCGCCCGCGAACCTGTTGCGTAGCCTGTCACAGCCGCTCAGGGCTCCGCCGGCGCCGCCTCAGCCCCACAACAACATGGCGGCCGCGGCCTCCGCAGGAAGCCGGGGGGCGGGGAGGTAGGCGCCGGGCCGGGCAGCTGACGGCCCGCCCGCTGCCGGGCACCGACTCCCCACCCTCCGGAGCCCGAAACTGCCCGGGCGTGGCTCCTCGCCCCAGGAGTTCCGGGGCATTGAACCCTGAAGGTCTGCTCCGAGTCGGTCGGGTCCGAAGCGCTCCTCTCTGCCCTCGGGGAGGCCCCGAAGCCCCAGACCTGGCAGCCCTTCCTGGAGTTGCACAGACCCACCTGGCTCCTCCTCCCCGAGGTAACATGCTGAGCTTGGGTGGTGCTTTTCCTGCCACGGCAGACGCCGGGGTTTTGGAAAGTCCCAAGCAGTGCCTGCCACATCCCTGTTGCACCCACCACGGGGTTCTCCCTGGAACCTTCTCACTCGCCGAAGTTTTCTCCACTGATCTGGGGGAACGAATTCTCTGGGAATTGGGGGGTGGAAGGTGGGAAGGAGGTTGATCCCACCCTTGCCCATGGGTCTGTTACAGGCCTCTTGAACCCTTCTCAGGGACCTGGAGGACTTAACCATACCCTCGGTCATCCATTCACCATTCCTCGCCCTCCTCCATAACACACGCGGAGCGCCCACGAGGAGCACCCTCTACGCTAGTCACACTCCGCCGAGCAGTAGGAAGACTCTGTCCCCATAGAGCATAGCACGACGAAGCTAAACTTTCCTCCCCACCCCTCGCCAAGGGACAGGCGAAGCTCCTACTCAGAATTTGTCTCTTTTCTCCCCTCCCGGTTCCTGGTCTCCTCACAAAAGACCAGACTTCAACTCAAGCCGCCACCGTATCCCAAAACCCCAAAGGTTTGCCCTTGACAAGAAGCTTCTTCAAGGGGAAAGGCTTTCTTTTGATTGGGGTGAGGGAGGAGTTAGTGTTTCCTAATGAACGTAACCAAATGTCGGCCTGGCACAGTGGCTCACGCTTGTAACCCCGGCACTTTGGGAGGCCGAGGCAGGTGGATCATCTGAGGTCAGGAGTTGGAGACCAGCCTGGCCAACATGGTGAAACCCCGCCTCTTCTAACAATACAAAAATTAGCTGGGCGTGGTGGCGGGCGCCTGTAGTCCCAGCTACTCGGAAGGCTGAGGCAGGAGAATCGCTTGAACCTGGGAGGCGGAGGTTGCAGTGAGCAGAGATTGCACCACTGTACTCCAGCCTGGGCGACAAGAGCGAAACTCTGTCTCAAAAAAAAAAAAGTAACCAAATGTAAGACTCAAGATTTTTGGATATAAGACCCAAGATTTCTTTTTTTTTTTTTTTTTTTTTTTTTTTTTTTCCTGAGACAGACTCTCACTCCGTTGCCCAGGCTGGAGTGCAGTGGCGCAACTGTGAGATCTGTGCTCACTGCAACCTCCGCCTCCCAGGTTCAAGCAATTCTCCTGCCTCAGCCTTCCAAGTACCTGGGATTACAGGCACTTGCCACCACGCCCGGCTAATTTTTGTATTTTTAGTAGACACTGGTTTCACCATGTTGGCCAGGCTGGTCTCAAACTCCTGACCTCAGGTGATCCACCCGCCTCATCCTCCCAAAGTGCTGGGATTGGCGTGAGCCACCACGCCCGGCCAAGACCCAAGATTTATTTTGGCTTTTAGAAGCAGGGTGAGGGCTGGTCTGGGGTCCAAAACTCATATCCCTTGATTTGATCTGTGTAGATCAAATAACCCCTGGCATCCTTTCATTCCTTACCTGTTGAGGCAGGTGAAGGTGAGATGGCTCCAAACCCAGGCCTATCTGAACTGGCCAGCCAGCTTAGGAGGAATTTACCAAACATCGATGATGATAAACAGGCTTTTCCCGCTCTCACACTCAGTGTTTTTCCTAACTCTTCGATTAGAACCTGACCAAGACCTGACAGACAGGTCCTGAGCTTCAGTGACACAGAGAAGCCTGACTCTTTTATCAGTCTAGGAGGCCCCTCACTTGCTGGGGACCAGCCAATCTGTCCTTATCTGCAAACAAACCACCCAGGCCAAGGATAGCAATCTTGAGCACGTGGCCTCATTCCCATTGCACCCTTCACCAGTTAACTGATATGCTCTTTTGGAGCCCATATTTGAGAGTCAAAGCCCCAGAATCCTTCACAACATAGTGCTCCAGAGAGTTGGTCTGAGAGGTAAAACCTATTTTTTATTCCTGTTAGGCACATAGCTAGTCTTCATTTTTCTCCCATCCTTTGACCAATGTCATTTGTGTTTTCGGGTTCTAGACCTGGTGCAATTTACCCTGAGTCTCCTTTCCTTCTAAAGGAGGTGCCAAATCCTTGGCAGGACAAAAATGGAATTTGTAGAAAGAGATGCTTATAAAGGAATAAAAAAAAATTTAAAGCCCCCCTAAAATAAACCAAAAAACTAACAACCTCTGCTGGAAATCAGGGTCCTGAATGCATGCCTACAGTATCCCAAGTACTAAAACAACTGTATCCCAGAGTTCCCTTCAGAACTTTGAGGCCAGTTTGTCCATCCTGTCCTACTCTATCACAGCCCAAAATGCAAGCACCTCCAGTTATCTATCTTCTCTCTCACACATACCTCCCACCCTGTGTGATTCAGGGATAAATTTGGGCAATATTAAGCATTTGGTGGTTGGATATAAGGAATGAGAAGGAGTAAAGGGTTCTTGGGTTTTTGGGTAATGGTAGTTCTATTCAACAAGATAAAGAATGGAATACAGGAGGGAAGCACAGACCTTGGAAGTGGCTGAAGAAACATTTTCCTTGCTCCTCGACTGCATCCAGATCCTAGTTTTCCACTCACATGCAAAAGCCCCTTCTCCTATGAGGCTTATAACACTAGCTACACCCATCCTCTATCCTCATCCTTATCATTTACCATCTTCCAGGGCACTCAATATATTCCTCAAGAATTTCTGCACATGGAGCAGCCAGTACTCTCCGCCCAGGACCTTCATCATCCTTAGTGTCTTTCAGTGTTCATGATTCATTTAGATGATGCAGCCGCCATCCCAGTTCCTTGACTTCCTCTTCTCATAGGGCAGCCTTGGAAGTGTGTCTATACATTTCCTCCTTAGTATTCTCCAAATCCCAGCATCTTTTCTTTACTTCTGGCACCAGCTGGAAATCAAATACCTGGAGGAGCTAAGTCCTACCATGTTACATTTCTCTTCCTCTAGTTCTGCCACAGTCTAGGCAAGATTCTTAGACTTGTTCCTGGTGACCTAGCTTTTACCCTGGGAGCGTTTAGTCTCTATCTGTTTTCTTTTCCATGTATTATTGATCCTTCTCCTCAACCATATGTATCTTATGTTCTATCAATCTCCCCTTAAGTTAGTTTTCAAAGATTCCATCCTGTACCCCATTTCTACCATGTTTACCCCCAAAACAAACCTGCAGTGTAAGAAGAGTATAGAATAGGTAGAAGCAACAGTTCTAGAGTCCAGGCATCCCATAAGATAAATACCATTATCATATAGAGTAGAAAGACTGAGAACCTGGAGCTCATATTTCATGTTATAGTTTTACCTTCAAAACAATGCTGTAACTTTGGGGGTTTTTTATTTGTTTTTGTTTTGTTTTTTTTAGGATGGAGTTTCACTCTTGTTGCCTAGGCTGGAGTGCAATGGCGCGATCTCAGCTCTCTGCAACCTCCGCCTCCCAGGTTCAAGCGATTCTCCTGCCTCATCCTCCTGAGTAGCTGGGATTACAGGCTCCCACCACCAAGCCCAGCTAATTTTTTGTATTTTTAGTAGAGACAAGGTCTCACTATATTGGCCAGGCTGGTCTTGAACTCCTGACCTCAGGTGATCCACCCACCTCAGCCTCCCAAAGTGCTAGGATTACAGGCATGAGCCAAGTTTTAAATAAATAATTTATAAAGAAATTAATAGGTTACAGGCAACAAAAATAGTCTTGATTTATCCAGATATTTATTATTTTGGGCACTCTTCATTCTTTCCTGAGGATCCGAGTTTCCTATGATAATATTTCCCACCTGCCAAACAAACTAACCCTGAAAATGGATGGCACTGGAGGAGCAGAGGAAGGGAGAGGAAAGGGATTGAGCAGATGGCATCATTTCCCATTTTTCAACCCCCAACCCCAAGTTCCCATCCCTGCAGATGCTCTGCCCTGAGACTTGAAGCCTGGGGCACAGGCCTGGGTGGAGCCAATGCAGGCACAGATCTTGACATTCGTAGCAAATATTCAGATGGGAATTTTGAAGGCAGAAGTGGAGAAGAGTTCCACGTGAACAGCAGTAGGTATGAGTTATATATTTTTTAAATTAATAATTTTTAAAAGACCCTACCATGTTCTGGCCACTAGAAACAAGGACTTCGCAAGGAATGAGCACTGGTGAGGAGCAGTGGAGACTCAATTCACAAGAATGGTCAATGGGACAAATTTGGTCCTTGGATCTTTTCTTAGCTTCTTGACCTTACAGATCTCCTTCTGGAGTCCGGGGCAGAAGAAAAGCAGAGAAGTGGAAATAGGAGTGACTTCAGGGGAAAGAGGAGAGAAGGGAAATTCCCAGCCCTGGCATGGAAGGAAGGAGTGTTCTCATTATTGGGCCACTAATGTTGTGCATAACTTGAGACTCTGGCTTGAGGCCTGATGGTACCGGAAAGGCAGTACCAGGCAAACTGAAGGGGGAAGTTAGCCGAGACTTGGGCCTAGGCCAGCACTGCAGGGTGGAGTCAAAGGCCAGACTGGGCGAGGCCCTAAAGTCCCTGGACAGGACGTGTTCATTCATTACCAAAGCACCAGGGGCTTCCAGTCTGGCAGGTGTAGCTCAGCGAAAGGGAATCCAATCTGTGTTCAAGAGTCAGAAATGTTTCCTGTCTGGCAGATATGCCCAGCTGTCTGCTTATTTCATCGTTGCTGTCTGCAGCACAAACCTGGAGTGATACCAGTTCCCTTCTTATAATAACGTAACTAATATTAATGTAGCATTTTGCACTTGGCAGAGTACTTTTGTTATTTCATTTAATCCTTGTAACAATCCTGGGAATTAGGGTAAAGTGCTGTTTGGGATTGTCTCACTTTGGTTGGTATGAAGAAAGAGAGGTAAAATCAGGCTTTTGCCTTGTGTTTGGAGAATTTTCCTATGCCTAGTTGTGATTTTCTTTTCCTCATTTAAATAGAGAAACATAGGCCATGCTCTTCTGGGTTTAGATAGCAACAGTTTTTTAATTTAAAATATACAATGGATCAGATCATTTTGTACTGCTTGGCCCAGTCTGGCCAGGCTTTTTTTTTTTTTTTTTTTCCTAGTATTGACATTTTCTTCTCCCAGATAATGTCTTGAGCCAATGAAATGTCCCACTGTGGCCTCCCAAAGTGCAGGGGTTACAGACGTGAGCCACCATGCCCAGCCCTTAAGCCAATGAAATTTAAGAAAGATAACTGCTTAACTGCCCCTACCCCGGCCCTAGGGAAGTGGAAATGGAATAGCTGCCCTTGGTCTAATGCCAGGGGACGGAACAATCTACAAGGGTAAACCACAGGCAAATGCGAGGCCACATTTTGATTGTTTAAATGACATGCTTGACACTTGCCCTGTCTTAACTTCTCTCATGAAAACAAGATGGACATCTAAAACCTAGAGCTATGAAATCACTGCCCAAAGCGGGGCCCTGCATCCTCAAGCTGGTTGACATTCTTATCTGCCCTAGGGAGGAATGGCCAGATCAGGAGAGTTTTCTGCCTTGGGTCTCAGATAGAGATTAGGATTTGGGTGCTCGGTGCCATTTGCCTTTTCTGTTTTTGCTTTTTGTGTTGCGTGTATAGAGTGGATATGTTTTCTTCCTTTTCTTGTGCCTATAGTTTAAGGATGTTTAATTTAGTAGAACCATGAAGGAGAGCAAGAAAGAACAAAAAGTACACTGCTTGCGAATTAACCTCAGAAGCCATTCCTCAACAGGATAGTTTTGGCTTTTAATTATTTGTTTATTTTTATTTTTATTTTATTTATTTATTTATTTATTTATTTATTTATTTATTGAGACAGAGTCTCGCTCTGTTGCCCAGGCTGGAGTGCAGTGGCTCAATCTCAGCTCACTGCAACCTCCACCTCCTGGATTCAAGCAATTCTTCCTGCCTCAGCCTTCCAAGTAGCTGGGACTACAGGCGCCTGCCACCATGCCCGGCTAATTTTTATATTTTTTAGTAGAGACGGGGTTTTGCCACGTTGGCCAGGCTGGTCTTGAACTCCTGACCTCAGGTGACCCACCTGCCTCAGCCTCCCAAAATGCTGGGACTACAGGCGTGAGCCACCGCACCCAGCCTTATTTATTTATTTATTTATTTTTATTTTTATTTTTATTTTTTTTTGAGACGGAGTCTCACTCTGTCACCCAGGCTGGAGTGCAATGGTGCGATCTCGGCTCACTGCAACATCTGCCTCCCAGGTTCAAGTGATTCTCCTGCCTCAGCCTCCCTAAGTAGCTGGGACTACAGGCTCCGCCACAATGCCCGGCTAATTTTTGTATTTTTAGTAGAGATGTTTCACCATGTTGGCCAGGATCGTCTCGATCTCTTGACGTCGTGATCCACCCGCCTTGGCCTCCCAAAGTGCTGGGATTACAGGCATGAGCCACCGCGCCCGGCCTCCCTGGGGTCTCTTTTAAAGGGCACCCATCCTATTTGTGATTAGGTGATCTAATCACCTCTCAAAGGCCTCACCTCCTAATACTATCACCTAGAGGGTTAGGATTTCAACATGTGAATTTTGGGGGGACACAACATTGACACCATAGAAGATGGAGAATGTGAACAGTTCACAGAGGAAAATAACTAATTTTATCAATAAAAAAGCCCAGCACTTTGGGAGGCCCAGGTGGGCGAATCACAAGGTCAGAAGTTCAAGACCAGCCTGACTAATATTGTGAAACACCATCTTTACTAAAAATACAAAAATTAGCCAAGCGTGGCAGCGGGTGCTTGTAGTCCTAACTGCTTGGGAGGCTGAAGCAGGAGAATCGCTGGAACCTGGGAGGCAGAGGTTGCAGTGAGCCAAGATCATGCTACTGATTCCAGCCCAGGCAACAGAGTGAGACTCTGTCTCAAAAAAAAAAAAAAAAAAAGTAATTTTGGCCAGGCGCAGTGGTTCATGCCTGTAACCTCAGCACTTTGGGAGGCCAAGGCAGGCAGATCATGAGGTCAGGAGATTGAGACCATCCTGGCTAATACGGTGAAAACCCATCTCTACTAAAAATACAGAAAATTAGCAGAGCGTGGTGGCACACACCTGTAGTCCCAGCTACTCGGGAGGCTGAGGCAGGAGAATCGCTTGAACCTGGGTGGTGGAGGTTGCAATGAGCCAAGATTTCGCCAAGGCAGGCCAATCACGAGGTCAGGAGTTTGAGACCGGCCAATAAGGTGAAACCCTGTCTCTACTAAAAAATACAAAAAATTAACCGGGCGTGATGGTACATGCCTGTAGTCCCAGCTACTCAGGAGGCTGAGGCAAGAGAGTCGTTGAACTCCGGAGGCAGAGGTTGCAGTGAGCCGAGATTGCACCACTGCACTCCAGCCTGATGACAGAGCGAGACTCCATCTCAAAAAAAAAAAAAAAAAAGGAGACCCCAAGGAGCTACCTGCCCCTTCCACCAAGTGAAGACACAGCTAGAAGGCATCATCTGTGAAACAGAAAGTAGGCCAGCACCAGACACTGAATTTACTCGTGCCATGGTCTTGGATTTCCCAGGCTCCAGAACTGTGAGAAATAAGTTTCTATTGTTTATAAGCTATGCAGTTTATGGCGTTCTATTATATCAGCCTGCACAGATTAAGACACTATTTATGTTTTATGGTATTCTTATTTTATCAATTCATATAATTTTTTTATATAAAATATTCAAAAGATGGTTGTTTTTAAATCATTTAGTTATTGTCTCATCACACAAATTGTTTTATTCTCTGCTTACCAGAAAACATGGGTTGAGTCTTATTTATCTTTTGTTATTCATTTGCTCATCAAAAATATTTATTGTGTGCCTTTCATATGCCTAAGACTATGCTAAGCAAAGAGGATATTAGAGTAAACAAGATAGTAACATGGTGCCTGGCTCCATTAAATGTTCACTAAATGTCACTGGATGCTGAAAAAAATAAATATTATGACATAAGATAATGCCATCTACATTTCAGCAAGATTAATTCTCTGGAGTCCTTCAGGAGATTTTTAAGATTCTCCTACCAGATGAGAATAGTCAGGTGGTTCTTTTCCAAGTTCTGTCTAGTTTCTTCTTTTTCTAAGATATAAGCAATAATAGCATTTTTTGGTGGAAGTTATCTATTACTACTTTGTATGACCTGTTTAAACAAAAGCTGGTGGTGGTATCCTGGGAGAGGCCCAGTTTATTTTCCTTGTGTAATAGAATAGTTCTAGGCAATAGAACTCTTCAAACATAATAAAAATCTCTATTTTTATGATTTTCAGTTCAATGTTTTCTAAGGCTTTTGATACATTCAAAATAAAGTTATTCTGGGCAAAGACAGTGATCAAAGCCTTGCAAAGAACAGCTCCTTCAGTGAAATCTACTGAACAAAGCTTCCTTAAGCCAAAGGCTCACTGTGGTGAGATTTTTTTTTCATGTGTTTCAAAAAGGAATAAGCCTCACTTCCCATTTCAATAATTTCAGCAGGTGCTTTTCTTATGCCTTTGTATAGGGAAACATAAAACTCTTAATTTCGTATGTAAGTGACCAGGTATTTGTATCAGTTAAAATGTTTGGTTGCAAATAACGGGGATCAACTCAAAGGGCTTAGGCAAAAAAAGAATTAATTATATACAAGGTAAGTGGAGTGTGCCAGTGTCACCAAGGACAGGAGTGGGGCCAGGCAAAATGGAATTAGGGACTGAACACTGTCCAGGGACCCTCTCTGTCTCACCTCTGCACTTGTGCTTCATCTTCTCAATAGAGAGAGGGTGGGATGTATAGTGGAGCACAGATAATTTTTTTTTTTTTTTTGAGACACCATCTCATTCTGTCACCCAGCCTCAAGTACAGTCGTGAGATCATGGCTCACAGCAGTCTCAACCTCCCACACTCAAGTGATCCTCCCCCAACTTAGCCTCCCAAGTAGCTGGGACTGCAGGTGAGTGCCACCATGCCTGGCTAATTTTTTTTTTCTACATGTTGCCCAGGCTGGTCTAAAACTCCTGTACTCTAGCAACCCTCCTGCCAGCCCCCCAAAGTGCTGGGATTACAGGCATGAGCCATCACGCCTGGCAGATCACTCTTTTTTTTTTGAGATGGAGTCTCGCTCTGTCGCCCGGGCTGGAGTGCAGTGGTGCGATCTCGGCTCACTGCAACCTCCACCTCCCGGGTTCAAGCAATTCTTCTGCCTCAGCCTCCCGAGTAACTGGGACTACAGGTACATGCCACCACACCCAGCTAAGATGGATTGATATATTTTACTTCCTTTAGATGCTTAGGAAGAATCTAGGTGATAGCAAAGGGCTTTCTTTTACTATTGGATTTTGTCATTTGGAACAACAGGAGAGCGTAACTGAAATTGTATTACAACTCTAGCATTGTCTTCTTAAGTTCAATGTTCTTTCCTGGAACAGCAGCAATGTCATTGTTAGAAGATTAAAAATATAAAATTCTACCTTCAAATCAAAAAATTCTGGTTAGAATTATAGTAACTTCTTAGGGATTTACAGAAAGAACTGGCCGGGTGCACTAGCTCGTGCCTGTAATCCCAGCACTTTGGGAGACCGAGGCGGGTGGATTACCTGAGGTTGGGAGTTCAAGATCAGCCTGGCCAATATGGTGAAACTCCATTTCTACGAAAAATACAAAAATTAGCCAGGCGTGGTGGTGGCTGCCTGTAATCCCAGCTACTTGGGAGGCTGAGGCAGGAGAATCACTTGAACCTGGGAGGCGGAGGTTGCAGTGAGCCGAGATCGCGGCACTGCACTCCAGCCTGGGCAACAGAGGGAGACTCTGTCTCAAAAAAAAAAAAAAGAAAAAGAAAGGACCTTGAACTTTGTGCCTTTCAAGTTAGCCTTGCTTTTAATTTGATGTAGTGTGTAGTCTAAATGGATTCAGTTTTGTCATTTATAGGGTAAGCCTTGGGGCAGGGACCAGGTTTTGACATGTACTTATCAGCTTATACTACACTCTCAATATTTAGAAAATAATAATTAATGGTTGGGTATTGAGTGTTTGGCACAAAATCCTGACTCTAAGTATAATTAACTTTAAGAGCTATTTTGGTGTCTGATGAACGCTTTTCATAGCTTCTTAAATGAGTCAGGAATGTATCCCATGGCTGAGACATGTTGAAATTTAGAATACACAAATATAAATTGCCTAATGAACATGAACATCATGTGATTCTAATTTAAAAACTGTAAAAGGCTGGGCACAGTGGCTCACACCTGTAATCCTAGCACTTTGGGAGGCCAAGGCAGGTGGATCACTTGAGCACAGGAATTCAAGACCAGCCTGGACAACATGGTGAAATCCCATCGCTACAAAAAAAAAAAAAAATTAGCTGGACGTGATGGCATGTGCCTGTAGTCCCAGCCACCTGGAAGGATGAGGTAGGAGGATGGTTTGAGCTCAGGAGGCGGAGGTTGCAGTGAGCAGTGATCACACCACTGCAACTCCAGCCTGACGGACAGAGCCAGACCCTGTCTCAAAAACAAACAAGTTGTAAAAATACTGGAATTGGTATCATCAAGATTGGATTCAGTGTTTAGAAGCCCTAAACGCTGAAACACCCATGTATGAAATTAAATAAAAAGAAAAACATGAAATAACTTAGCCAGGTGTAGTGATGTGTGTCTGTAGTCCCAGCTACTTGGGAGGCTGAGGCAGGAGGATGGCTTGAGCCCAGAAATTCAAGGTTGCAATGGGTCAGGATCATGTCACTGAACTCCAGCCTGGGCAACAGAGCAAGACGTTGTCTCAAAACCCAAAAACAAAAACAAAAAAATTGCTTGATAACTATTTCAACACTTTTTTTTTTTTTTTTTTGAGATAGAGTCTCACTCTGTCACCAGGCTGGAATGCAGTGGCGCAGTCTTGGCTCACTGCAACCTCTCCCTCCCAGGTTCGAGTGATTCTCCTGCCTCAGCCTCCTGAGTAGCTAGGACTACAGGCATGTGCCACCACGCCCAGCTAATTTTTGTATTTTTAGTAGAGACAGGGTTTCACCATGTTGGCCAGGATGGCCTCGATCTCTTGACCTTGTGATCCGCCCGCCTCGGGCTCCCAAAGTGCTGGGATTACAGATGTGAGCCACTGCGCCCAGTTCAACACATTGTTTTTTGTTTTTGTTTTTTTTTGAGACAGAGTCTTGCTCTGTCGCCCAGGCTGAAGTGCAGTGGCACATGTCAGCTCACTGCAAGCTCCACCTCTCGGGTTCAAGCCATTCTCCTGCCTCAGCCTCCCAAGTAGCTGGGACTACAGGCACCTGCCACCACACCCAGCTAATTTTTTGTAATTTTAGTAGAGACGGGGTTTCACCGTGTTAGCCAGGATGGTCTCAATCTCCTGACCTCGTGATCCATCAGCCTTGGCCTCCCAAAGTGTTGGGATTACGGGCGTGAGCCACCGCGCCCGGCCCTCAACACATTTTTTATAAAAATGTGGAATTATTTCTAAATAACTATGTGTGTGTGTGTGTGTATGCAAATGTGCAGACAGGTATGCTCTAGGCCTGCCCTTGCTTGGCCAGGCCCAGGAGAATGTGCTTACTTTGCTTTTTTGGGTGCCCCTTTTGCAGCACCCTTTTTGGGTGTTCATTAGAACCCAGGATGTAGAGTAGACTGTGTAGACTTGGGTTCCTATCATGGAAACTCTAGGTGGGTAAGGCGGCAACCGAGAAAGCTACAGCCAAGTGTCAACTACTTTGTGACCATCTCAAGGGAGAGAGCTGTGCCAGGTATCTTCCAATTTATATGATAGGAGCTTAGTTTTATACTTGTGATGAGAATTTTGCCCAAGCTTGATCCTGACTGAGAAGCAAGTAAGCAGTTCCTGAAGGCCTTATGTGGTTGTTCTCAACTTCTTCACCAAATTCCCACCAGATTTTATTATCCCACCCCCTATTCCTGACTTGGATTTTTTTTTCCCTAATTTTAAAAAACTGCATTTAATATGTAAGTTTGTTGCACTGGACATGGTGGCTCATGCCTTGTAATCCCAGCACTTTGGGAGGCCAACCTGAGTAGATCACTTGAGCTTAGGAGTTCAAGACCAGCCTAGGCAACATGGTGAAATTTCATCTCTACAAACAATACAAAAATTAGCCTGGCATGGTGGCACATTCCTGCAGTCCCAGCTACTCCGAAGGCTGAGGGAGGAGGATGGCTTCAGCCTGGGAGGCAGAGGTTGCAGAGAGCTGAGATCTCACCACAGTGCTCAAGCCCGGGTGACAGAGTGAGACTCTGTCTCCGAAAAAAAAAAAAAAAAGAAAAAAAATCCCTTTTAGGATGGGAAATTAAGAAAATAAGATCATGATCAGTGTTAAACTACCCAAATAAAAAATTGCAGAGAAAAAATAGACAAAAATTACTTTAAAGAAACAGAATGGGCCGGGGGCAGTGGCTCATGACTGTAATCCCAACACTTTGGGAGGCTGAGGCGGGTGGATCACCTGAGGTCAGGAGTTAGAAATCAGCCTGGCCAACATGACAAAACCCCATCTCTACTAAAAATACAAAAATTAGCCGGGCGCGGTGGTGGGCGCTTGTAATCCCAGCTACTTGGGAGGCTGAGGCAGGAATATCGCTTGAACCCGGGAGGCAGAGGTTGCAGTGAGCCGTGATCATGCCATTGCACTCCAGCCTGGGCGACAGAGCAAGACTCCGTCTCAAAAAAACAAAAAAAAAAGAAGAAAAAAAAAAAGAAATGGAATGGCTCCAGATCAGAGCAAACTGTGACTGTATGTATTAAGAGTGCAATCTGAAGGAAGCAGGTTTGTTAGCCTGGGCAGTTGTTATAAAAGGAGAATCTCTAAGATTCTCCCAGCACTTTGGGAGACCGAAGTGGGAGGATCCCTTGAGGCCAGGAGTTCTAGACCAGCCATGGGCAACACAGTGAGACATCATCTCTATGAAAATAAATAAATAAATAAATAAATAGCTGAGCATGGTGGCATGCACCTATAGTCCCAGCTACTTGGGAGGCTGAGGTGGGAGCATCACTTGAGCCCAGGAGTTTTGAGTTCAAGGTTACAGGGAGCTGTGATTCTACTGCTGCACTCCAGCCTGGGCAACAGAGTGAGACCTTGTCTTTACAAAATCAAAAAATACTAAATTTTGGCAGTGCACATTTGTGATATGGTGAAATATATATTCTGGTCTTTGTCCCAGTTTCCTGACGTGCAGCTCCTAAAACCCTTGGAATCTCTGGAGTGATAGGACTGTCTTTCGTATGCTAATGAGATGACTGGTGGCTGACAGCCCTTAGGTAGGTACTTTCAGGATGGGCCCTGGTCACCTAAAAGACCAAGGCATGATTAGAGGAATAGGACTTTTGGCCCCATCCCCTAGCGTTGGAGGACATGAGTGGGGCTGAAGACTGATCTGATCACCAATGGCCAATGATTTAATCAATTAAGCCTATGTAATGAAGCCTCCATAAAAACCTAAAGAGACTGAGTTTGGGGAGCTTCCAGATAGCTGCACAGATAGAAGTTCCTGGAGAGTGGCATGTCCAGAGAGGGCATGGAAGCTCTGTGCCCCCTTTGCCCTTTGCATCTCTTCCATCTGGCTGCCATCTGTATCCTTTGTAATATCCTTTATAATAAATGGGTAAACATAAGTAAAGAGTTTCCCTGAGTTCTGTGAGCTGCTCTGGCAAATTATTAGAACCTGAGAAGAGTTCGTGACAACTCCATTACAGCCAGTTGTTCAGAAGTTCCAGAGGCTTGAACTTGTGACTGGCATGTGAGTGGGAGGAAGCCCTACGAGACTGACCTCAACCTGTGGGATCTGATTCGGTCTCCAGGTAAACAGTGTAAGAATTGAATTGAATTAGAAAACACACAGCTGGTGTCTGCAGGGGAACCAGCTGCAGAATTAATTGCTTGGTGTGCATGGGAAAACTCCCTACACATCTGGGGTCACAGAAGTATTCTGTGTTATTACAGTAGGAAAAAAATGAGTTTGTTTATTTATTTATTTATTTGAGACAGAGTGTTGCTCTGTCGCCCAGGCTGGAGTGCAGTGGCGCGATCTCAGCTCACTGCAACCTCTGCCTCCCGAGTTCAAGCGATTCTCCTGCCTCAGCCTCCTGAGTAGCTGGGACTACAGGCACCTGCCACCACACCCGGGTACTTTTGTGTGTGTGTGTGTGTGTGTGTGTGTGTGTGTGTGTGTGTGTGTGTGTGTGTATTTTTTTAGTAGAGAAGGGATTTCACCATATTGGGCAGGCTGGTCTCAAACTCCTGACCTTGTGATCCACCCACTTTGGCCTCCCAAAGTGCTGAGACTACAGGCATGAGCTACCGCACCCGGCCAATTTTTTTCTATATCCTCTTTTTTGAGACGATGTCTCACTGTGTTGCCCAGGCTGGAGTGCAGTGGCACGATCTTGGCTCACTGCAGCCTCTGCCTCCCGGGTTCAAGCGATTCTCTGCCTCAGCCTCTTGAGTAACTGGGATTACAGGCGCCCACTACCACACTCGGCTAATTTTTGTCTTTTTTAGTAGAGATGGGGTTTTGCCAAGTTGACCAGGCTGGTCTCGAACTCCTGACATCAGGTGATTCGCCTGCCTCGGCCTCCCAAAATGCTGGGATTACAGGCATGAGCCACTGCGCCCAGCGTGATTTTTTTCTACATCCTTATACCATCCAGCCACTTTCCAGGGAAGAGAAAATCTCAAACTGTGGTATTTATGGTTCCACTGGCAAGACTATGTTTATTGAAGGGATACTACCTGTTTATTTTAGCTGGGTTCCATTAAGCTTTTAAGTGACTACCTGCCACTGGTATGATTCCAGGGTGAGCAAGCCACATCCTAATTATAAGTTGGTTCCCTGTGTAGGTCACCTCACAGGGAAAGCGTATGCTGGTCATGCTAAGAGTACTACTCTGGCTACTTGGGAGGCTGAGGCAGGAGAATGGTGTGAACCTGGGAGGCAGAGCTTGCAGTGAGCCGACATCGCGCCACTGCACTCCAGTCTGGGCGACAGAGTGAGACTCCATCTCACACACACACACACACACACACACACACACAAAAGAGTACTACTCTGGCCTGTGTGACTGTGATAATTCTCAGTACCAATTAACACATTGTCCCTGTTTGTTCACCGGGCTCTATGAGTTTGGTTAACATGAGAGATGATCTCAAGTGGGCTGACAAAATGGGGTTTTGAAGCCAGCAAGGCCGAGAGCCAAGGAACATCAGCAAGGAATGCGTCCTTTAGACTCTTGGAGGACAGGGTGTGTGCAATTTATCTCTTCCCAGCTTGCTGCACATGGCCTGTCCCCAGTAGAAGCTCAGTGTTCATTTATCTGAACTAGACATCCTTAATAGTAAGGCCCATTTTATAATTGCAATCTTATTTTATAACTAATCAAAGCATATGATCACCAAAGTTTTTTTAACCTAAAAAAATTTACTCAGGTAGGCTGGGCACAGTGGCTCATGTCTGTAATTCCAGCACTTTGGGAGGCTGAGGAGGGCGGATCACTTGAGCCCAGGAGTTCAAGACCAGCCTAGCCAACATGGGTAAACCCTGTCTCTACTAAAAATACAAAAATTAGCCAGGCATGGTGGCGCATGCCTGTAGTCCCAGCTACTTAGGAGGCTGAAGCATGAGAATCGCTCGAACCTGGGAGGTGGTGGTTGCAATAAGCCGAGATCACGCCACTGCACTCCAGCCTGCCTGATGGAGTGAGACTCTGTCTCAAAAAAAAAAAAAAAAAAAAAATTTACTCAGGTAATATATATTTTTAAGAAAAATTATAAAATGGTTATAAGTAAAAAGAAAAAATAACCATATATATTTTTATTACTTAGAGAAAACCATTGTTAACCTTTTGGTGTGGGTGGGCATGTGCCTCACGCCTGTAATCCCAGCACTTTGGGAGTATGAGGCAGGCGGATCACGAGGTCAGGAGATCGAGACCATCCCTGGCCAACATGGTGAAAACCTGTCTCTACTAAAAATACAAAAATTAGCTGGGTGTGGTGGTGGGCGCCTGTAGTCCCAGCTGCTCGGGAGGCTGAGGCAGGAGAATCGCTTGAACCCAGGAGGCAGAGATTGCAGTGAGGTGAGATCATGCGGCCTGGCAACAGAGCAAGACTCCATCTCAAAAACAACAACAACAACAACAACAACAAAAAACATTTTGGTATATACCCTTTCAGATATTTTTGTATGTGTACAAATGCATATATATTTAAATATACATATATTCTTACACAAACGGAATCTTACCATAATGCAGTTTTGTAGCTTGCCTTTTTTTTACTTACATAGAAAATGAAAATTTTTCTATGTCAATAAAAATAAATAATCTATGATTTTTTTTTTTTTTAGACAGAGTCTCACTCCATCACCCAAGCTGGAGTGCAGTGGCTTGATCTCAGCTCACTGCAACCTCTGCCTCCCGGGTTCAAGTGATTCTTGTGCCTTAGTCTCCCAAGAAGCCGGGATTGCAGGCGCCCGCCACCACACCAAGCTAATTTTTTTGTACTTTTAGTAGAGACAGGGTTTCGCCATGTTGGCCAGGTTGATCTTCAACTCCTGAGCTGAAATGATCTGCCCACCTCAGCCTCCCAAAGTACTGGGATTACAGATATGAGCCACTGCACCCAGCCTATGAAATAATTCTTAATGACTGCATAGTATTCCTCAATATGTATGTACCATAACTTAAACATTCTTCTCTTATTAACCATTAAGTTGTATCCATTTTTTATTATACACAACACTTTAAATAACACATTTATTACTTTTGCAGAATAAATTCCTATACAAGATCTTGCTAGGTCAAAGTATATTCATGTTTTATATATTTTGATATATAGCCAAATTGTGTTCTAGAGGGCTCATTTTTCCACTCTAGACTGTCTGCAGCTTAATATCACCTGACATTGGCCAGGTGCAGTGGCTCATGCCTATAATCCCAGCTTTTTGGTAGGCTGAGGTGGGCGGATCACTTGTGGTCAGGAGTTCAAGACCAGCCTGGCCAACATGGCAAGACCCCGTCTCTACTAAAAATACAAAAAAAAAAAAAAAAAGAAAAAAGAAAGCTGGGCATGGTGATGTGCGCCTGTAGTCCCGGCTACTCGGGAGGCTGAGTCAGAGAATTGCTTGAACCCAGGAGGCAGAGGTTGCAGTGAGCCAAGATCAAGCCACTGCACTCCAGCCTGAGTGACAGAGCAAGACTCTGTCTCAAAACAAACAAACAAACAAACCCCAGTATCACTTGACATCCCTGGAGCTTAGGGCCACTACAACCCACAGGATCCTCAGCAACTAATTGGAAATCCAGATTCAGCTTTGTAATCAGCCTCCCTTTCCTCCTCCAATCCCAGGCTCATCCCTCCAAACCTGAGCTACAGCATCTCCCTCCCTCCTCTTTTCCTTCCTTCCTTTCTTCCTTCTCTCATTCCTTCCAGGTCTTGCAGTTCCTTTGGGGAAGCTATGAATGCCTCTGGAGTAGAAGTGCCCAGTTTAATTTCAGTTTAAGATTAACAGCAAATGTTGCATGGAACAATAGTATAAATAATTGTTACTATAAAAATTATCTGAATTGAAGTTTAGTTGGGTGTTCTATATTTTTATATGCCAAATCTGACGACTCTGTCTGTGGATTCTTTTTTTTTTTTTTTGAGACAGAGTTTTGCTCTTGTTGCCCAGGCTGGAGTGCAATGGTGCAATCTTGGCTCACTGCAACCTCTGCCTCCTGGGTTCAAGCAATTCTCCTGCCTCAGCCTCCCAAGTAGCTGGGATTACAAGTGCCGGCCACCACGCCTGGTTTTTTTTTTTTTTTTTAGTAGAGTCGGGGTTTCACCATGTTGGTCAGGCTGGTCTCGAACTCCTGACCTCAGGTGATCCACTCGCCTCAGCCTCCCAAAGTGCTGGGATTACATGCGTGAGCCATTGTGCCCAGCCTATCTGTGTATTCTTTTTTTTAGGCAGTTTCACACTTGGTGGCTAGAGTGCAGTGGTGTGATCTCAGCTCACTGCAACCTCCGCCTCCCAGGTTCAAGTGATTCTCCTGTCTCAGCCTCCTGAGTAGCTGGGATCACAGGCGCCCGCCACCACGCCTGGCTAATTTTTTTGTATTTTTAGTAGAGACAGGGTTTTACCATGTTGGCCAAGCTGGTCTCAAACTCCTCACCTCAGGTGATCCACCCTCCTCGGCCTCCCAAAGTGCTGGGATTACAGGCGTGAGCCACCACACCCGTCCCTATCTGTGTATTCTTTAATCGGATGCCATCTGCCCTAAGTCTAGCAAGATTCCTCAAAATGTCTAATATTTGCATACCTCTCTTCTCTATTTTCAGTGCTGATGAAAAGTTTTCCTTGCTTTTCATCTTTAGTCTTTTCATTTTTTTTGAATTGGGAGGGAGAGGAATCAACCATGTCTTCTTAAGCTGCTATCTTTTTCTAAAAGTATAAAAATCATTATTTTATTTATTTATTTTTATTTTTATTTTTATTTTTGAGACAGAGTTTTGCTCTTGTTGCCCAGGCTGGAGTGCAATGGCGCGATCTTGGCTCACCACAACCTCTGCCTCCCGGATTCAAGTGATTCTCCTACCTCAGCCTCCCGAGTAGCTTGGATTACAGGCATGCGCCACCATGCCCAGCTAATTTCGTATTTTTGGTAGAGACAGGGTTTCTCCATGTTGGTCAGGCTGGTCTCGAACTCCCGACCTCAGGTAATCTGCCCACCTTGGCCTCCCAAAGTGCTGGGATTATAGGCGTGAGCCACTGCGCCAGGCCTAAAAATCATTATTTCAAAAAGATGACTTTGAAGATTATGAGATTGTTCATGACATATTATTTGGAAACAATAGGTTACAAAGAATGTGTTATGATGCATTTCAGTTTAAAGTATATTACTTTAAAATGGTAGGAATAATTTTAGTAAGATTCTATAGTCAGATCCCAGTTAAACTCCTGATTCTGCCTTTCCATCAGTTTTTTTTTTTTTTTTTTTTTTCCGAGACGGAGTCTTGCTTTGTCACCCAGGCTGGAGTGCAGTGGCACGATCTCGGTTCACTGCAAGCTCCGCCTCCCGGGTTCACGCCATTCTCCTGCCTCAGCCTCTCTGAGTAGCTGGGACTACAGGCGCCTGCCACCACGCCCGGCTAATTTTTTGTATTTTTAGTTAGAGACGGAGTTTCACCATGGTCTTGATCTCCTGACCTCGTGATCCGCCCACCTTGGCCTCCCAAAGTGCTGGGATTACAAGCGTGAGCCACGGCGCCGAGCCTCCATCAGTTTTATGTTGGACAATTTAGCCTTTCTAAACCTTTTTCTCATCTTTAAAGGGGGGATACAATCACTTTTGTAAGTTTATTTCAAGTGAGGAGCTATCAGGCACAGTGCCTGGCGCATCCCAGGCCTTCTCTACTTGTACACTGAGTAGGAAAGCACAAGGCAGTCTTAATGCTTGGCTTGCTCTGTAGTTTATTCAATTTTTGCTTTTTTGTGACACATTCTAGGGAGTCTTAGATTAAATTTAGTCATACTATTATCCAGGCTTGGTGGCTCACACCTGTAATCCCAGCACTTTAGGAGGCCGAGGCGGGTCGGCCACCTGAGGTCAGGGGTTCGAGACCAGCCTGGCCAACATGGTGAAACCCCATTTCTACTAAAAATACAAAAATTATCAGGGTGTGGTGGCACATGCCTGTAATCCCAGCTACTCAGGAGGCTGAGACAGAAGAATTGCTTGAACCTTGGAGGTGGAGGTTGCAGTGAGCCAAGATCACACCACTGCACTCCAGCCTGGGCAACAGAGGGAGACTCCGACTCAAAAAAAAAAAAAAAAAAAAGTAGGTGTATTATTTAATCTATTTTCTAGGTCTAGAAAAGCAAAGGCGCTTCAATATTTAGATACCTACTTTCTAAATCATTATGTGTATGTGTGTGTGTACACTTGTGTGTGTTTGTGTGTCTGTGTTTACTATTTCAGTCAAATGCTGTATCATCAAAGTTAGTTGTATGTGTGAAAGAGAAACTTTGGATTCTAGGTGGACAACCCACTAGATCTTTGAGAAAATATCTATAAATGGAGAATAAGAACATTAGTTACTGTTTTGCAGGCTGGAAATGTGGCCCCATTCCCTCTCTAATCTTCTGCTAAGCCAGGCAGGACTTCAAGATCAAGGCCTAGGTAAAAAGTAGGCCTCCCAGGTACTTTACCCTCAGGGTCACACTTTGATTTTACCCTAGGAAGGGTAAATAAAAAGAAAGGGAAACCAAGAGAAAAAGAGCCCTTTATCTATAAATCCTGACCAAGAGTTTCTCCTCGGCTGAACTTTAGTCATGCTCCTCTGACGGTCCTCTGCACTAGGCCTTGGCCCTGTCCTTGCTGGGCCTGCATAGCCCAGTTTCAGTGAGAATCCTGCTCAGTGACTGTAGTGATACCCTCACACCCTTGATAGCTGGCTTCTTCATCCTCCACCCACAGTGTCTAAGTCCTTGGGTTGCCTTTAGCAACAATCCTATTAAGTTTGTTTAGCAAGAATCCTCTTATCTGCTCTTAGTAATTTTCCATCCATTGACCCCCTCACTCTGCTCCTTGGCTAAAAATTCCCACTTGTCCTTGTTGGATTGAGGGTTGAGCCCAACCTCTCTCCCCAACTCCCAGACTCCATTGCAGCAGTTCCCCAGAATAAAGTCTGTCTTACTGTTCTTTAGCACAGGTCAGAATAATTTTTTCTTTTTTTTCTTGTTTTTTGAGACAGAGTCTTGCTTTGTTGCCCAGGCTGGAGTGCAGTGGTGCAGTCTCAGCTCACTGCAACCTCTGCCTCCTGGGTTCAAGTGATTCTCTTGCCTCAGCCTCCTGAGTAGCTGGGATTACAGACACACGCAACCAAGCCTGGCTAATTTTTGTATTTTTAGTAGAGATGGGGTTTCCCCATGTTGGCCAGGCTGCTCTCGAACTCCTGACCTCAGGTGATCCACCCGCCTCAGCCTCCTAAAGTGTTGGGATTACAGATGTGAGCCACCACACCTGGCCTGAATAATTTTTTCTTTAACAACCCTGACAAATCCACCCCAGGCTATCTCAGGGCTACCTCAGAGAACCACCTTTTTTTTTTTTTTTTTTTTTTGAGATGGAGTCTCACTCTGTCGCCCAGGCTGGAGTGCAGTGTCACAGTCTCAGCTCACTGCAACCTCCGCCTCCTGGGTCAAGTGATTCTTCTGCCTCAGCTTCTCAAATAGCTGGGATTACAGCCGCACGCCACCATGCCTGGCTAATTTTTGTATTTTTGTAGAGATGGGATTTCACCATGGTGGTCAGGCTGGTCTTGAACTCCTGACCGCAGGTGATCCACCCGCCTCAGCCTCCCAAAGTGCTGAAATTATAGGCGTGAGCCACTGCACCTGGCCAGAGAACCACTTTTTAAAATCCAAAGATTTATTTAATCTTATTTATGTATTTAAAGACAGGGTCTCTTTTTGTCGCCCAGGCTGGAGTGCAGTGGTGCGATCTGGGCTCACTGCAACCTCTACCTTCCGGGTTCAAGTCATCCTCCTGCCTCAACCTCCTGAGTAGCTGGGATTACAGGCGCCCACCACCGCGCCTGGCTAATTTTTGTATTTTTAGTAGAGATGGGGTTTCACCATTTTGGCCAGGCTGGTCTCGAACTCCTGACCTCAAGTGATCTGCCCTCCTCGGCCTCCCAAGGTGCTGGCATTTCAGGCGTGAGCCACTGCGTCCGGCCAAAATCCAAAGATTTAAATAGGAACAAGCAGGAAAGGAAAGTCCATGGGTGAGCAAATGCTTCCAATCTCTTAGGTCCTTACATTCTTGTTAAACTTCACCCTTAGCAATAATTAAGCCCCAAAGTCTCCTTGACGTGTATATTTTTTTCCCACAGCAAAGGCGTTAGTGTGAGGAAATCCTTGTGCTCCCCCTAGAGGTTAGAGGGCGCATCCAGCACGTCCTGGCAAAGTGTGTGTGGATGGCGCAGGGTGGGTGGGGTGGGGGGATGCTTGTTGTTTTACTATTAAAGTCAGGAAATCAAGGGTTTTGCATTCTCTCTCCAGGGAGCTTTGCAGAGTACCAGAAATGTCTTGTCTGCACCTTCATGCGGTTTATTTTTCAGTCTTTGCTTGTTCTCCACCTGGGACTCATGAAATCGGTAGTTCTGCCCCTTTACAAGTGTTCCTTTGATGTAATACCCAGGGAGCCAGAGAACTAGGTCAGGACATTCTATCAAGTACAATCCAAGTATTTTTCCAAGTGGACCACCTGCATAAAAATATCCTGAAGAGTTTGTTTAAGATGAAGAATTCTGGGCCCCACCCCACAACCTTCTGAATTGGCATTTCTGGAGGTGAGGCAATTCTTATGCACATTAAGGTTTAAGAACCACTGCTGTACCCTACTTGAGAAGGAATTTCTCCCTTCTATATCTTGTTTAAAATTATGCTGTAGGATGCTATAATCAAACCCATCAGACAGGGTTACAGATCTAATGAGCCCAATAGAAAGATAACATAAGATGCTAGTCTTTCACTCTGAAAACAGAACCCAGCGGGCAAATCACAAGGTCACGAGTTTGAGACCAGCCTGGCCAACATTGTGAAACCCTGTCTCTACTAAAAATACAAAAAATTATCTGGGCATACTGGCGGGCACCTGTAATCCCAGCTACTTGGGAGGCTAAGGCAGGAGAATCACTCGAACCTGGGAAGCAGAGGTTGCAGTGAGCTGAGATCGCACCACTGCATTCCAGCCTGGGTGGCAGAGCGAGACTCTGTCTCAAACAAAAACAAAAACAACAAAAAACTCTTCCCAATTCAATCCCGTGAATCTAAATCCTCAAATATGTAGAAAATGCTTGTCTCTTTTTTTTTCCTTTTTAAAAAAATTTCTCCCATTTTTAAAATGTTTTCATTGTTGTGGGTACTTAGTAGGTATATATTGGGTTACATGAGAATTTTTTTAAATTTTATTATTATTATACTTTAAGTTTTAGGGTACATGTGCACAATGTGCAGGTTTGTTACATATGTATACATGTGCCATGTTGGTATGCTGCACCCATTAACTCGTCATTTAACATTAGGTATATCTCCTGATGCTATCCCTCCCCCCTCCCCCCATCCCACAACAGTCCCCGGAGTGTGATGTTCCCCTTCCTGTGTCCATGTGTTCTCATTGTTCAATTCCCACCTATGAGTGAGAATGTTGCCCAGGCTGGAGTGCAGTGGCGTGATCTTGGCTCACTGCAACCTCTCCTCCCAAGTAGCTGGGACTATGGGCAGTGCCACCACGCCTGGCTAATTTATGTGTTTTTAGGAGAGACAGGGCTTTGCCATGTTGGCCAGGCTGGCCTCAAGTGATCCACCTGCCTGGGCCTCCCAAAGTGCTGGGATTACAGGCGTGAGCCACCGCACCAGGCCTAAAAATTATTATTTTAAAAAGATGACCGTGCCCAGCCTACATGAGATGTTTTGATACAGGCATGCAATGCATAATAATCACATCAGGGTAAATTAAGTATTCGTCACCTCAAGCCTTTATCCTTTGTGTTACAAACAATCCAATTATACTCTTTTAGTTTTTTAGATTTTATTTTATTTTTTGAGATGGAGTCTCACTGTGTCGCCTGGGCTGCCTGCAACCTCCGCCTCCTGGGTTCAAGTGATTCTCATGCCTCAGTCTCCCGGGTAGCTGGGATCACAGGCATGCTCCACCACACCTGGCTAACTTTTCTATTTTTAGTAGAGACAGGGTTTCGACACGTTGGCAAGTCTGGTCTCAAACTCCTGACCTCAAGCCATACACCCGCCTTCCAAAGTGCTGGGATTACAGGCGTAAGCCATCATGCCCAGCCTCTTTTAGTTATTTTTAAATGTACAATTAAATTATTTTGGGGCTGGGTGCAGGGGCTCATGCCTGTAATCCTAGCAGTTTGGGAGGCCAAGGCAGAAGGATCACTTGAGCCCAGGAGCTCGAGACCAGCCTGGGCAACGTAGCAAGACCTCGTCTCTACAAAAAAATAAACACAATTAGCTGGATGTGGTGGTGTGTGCCTGTAGTCCCAGCTACTTGGGAAGCTAAGGTGGGAGGATCACTTGAGCCCAGGAGGTAGAGGCTGCAGTGAGCTATGATCACACACCACTCCACTCCAGCCTGGGTGACAGAGTGAGACCCTGTTGAAATATATATATATATATATATTTTTTTTTTTTTTTTTACCATAGTCATCCTGTTGTGCCAGCAAATTCTAGCTCATTTATTCTTTCTAAACTTTTTTTTTTTTTTGAGATGGAGTTTCACTCTTGTCCAGGCTAGACTGCAAATGGCATGATCTCGGCTCACTGCAATCTCCACCTCCCAGGTTTGAGCGATTCTCCTGCCTCAGCCTCCCAAGTAGCTGGGATTACAGGCACCTGCCACCACACCAGCTAATTTTTTTTTTTTTTTTTTTTTTTGGTATTTTTAGTAGAGACAGGGTTTCACCATGTTGGCCAGGCTGGTCTTGAACTCCTGACCTCAGGTGATCCACCCTCCTCGTCCTCCCAGTGCTAGGATTACAGGCATGAGCCACTGTGCCCTACGCTTTCTAAACATTTTTGTACCCCTTAACCATCATCTCTTTCCCTCTGCCCACCAACCCTCCAGCCTCTGGTAACCATCCTTCTACTCTCTATGTCCATGAGTTCAATTGTGTTGATTTTTAGATCCCACAATTGGTCCCTGATGCCTTATTTAGTTCATTTGGGGAGGTCACATTTTCCTGGATGGTCTTGATGTTTATGGGTGTTCATTTGTGTCTGGGCCCAAAACTATTATTTATTGTAGTTTTCACAGTCTGGGCTTGTTTATACCTGTCCTTCTTGGAAAGGCTTTCTAGGTACTTAGAAGGACTTGAGTGTTGTAATCTAAGCTGCCTTAGGGGACACCCCAAACCCAGTAATGCTGTGGCTCTTGCAGACTCGTAGAGGTACCGCCTTGATGTTCTTGGATGAGATCTGGAAGAATTCTCTGGATTACCAGCACAGACACTTCTCTTCCCTTACCTTCTCCCAAAGAGACAGAGTCAATCTCTCTCTCTCTCTCTCTCTCTCTCTCTCTCTCTCTCTCTCTGTTCTGAGCCACCTGGAGCTAAGGATGGGGTGACACAAGCACTCCTGTGGCTACTACCACTAGGACTACTCTGGGTCGGACCTGAAGCCAGTACAGAACTGGGTCTCACCTAAGACCCACTGTAACTACGACTTGGCTACTGCCTGTGTTCACTCAAGGCCCTTGAGTTCTACAATCAGCAGGTGGCAGGTCCAGCCAGGCCTGTGTCCTTCCCTTCAGGACGGCAAGTTCCCCCAGGCCCTGGACAGGTCCAGAGGTGTCATCCAAGAGCCCGGACCTGGAATAAAAATCCTTAGAAGCCTACCTGATGTTCTATTGTACTGCAGCTGAGCTGGCTTTCAAACCATGAGATGCCGTCTTTCCAACTCTTTCCTCTCCTTTCCACAGTCGGAGGAGTCTCACCCAGTGGCCACTACTACCACAGGCCCATGGGGAGTACTGCCAGGCTATTAAGGCCCAAGGGCTCTTAAGCTCACTGTACCTGGCTATAAGTTTTATTTAACACTGTTGTTCATGGAAGACATTTGCTGCTCTTTTCGGATCAGCCCAAACTGGGCCTTAGAATGTGTCATAGGGCCGAGTGGAGTGGCTTATGCCTGCAACCCCAGCACTTTGAGGCGCTGAGGTGGGTGGATTGCTTGAGTCCAGGAGTTCAAGACCAGCGTGGGCAACATGGTGAAACTCCATCTCTACAAAAAAATACAAAAATTAAATACAAAGATTAGCCGGGCATGGTGGCATGTGCCTGTGGTCCCAGCTACTTTCCTGGCTGAGGGGGGAGAATCACCTAAGCCCAGGAGGTCAAGGCTGCAACCTAGGCCACAGTCTTGAACTCCTGGCCTCAAGTGCCCACCTCAGCCTCCCAAAGTGCTGGAAATACAGGAGTGAGCCACCGCGCCCGGCCTGGTCTCTTTTTTTCTATCTCTCTATTTATTATTTCTCTCTAAATCCCTCTAAACTCTGTTCATTACTATTTCTATTTCTATTCCTGTGTAAGTCTCCTGGTGATGAATTATCTTCGCTTTTGTTCATACCAAAGTGTCTTAATTTGCCTTCATTCTTTTTCCCAATGTTTTTATTATGGTAAACTACACAAACATAAAATTTACCATCTTAAATGTTTTAAAGTGTGCAGTTCAGTAGGGTTTTTTTGTTTTGTTTTCTTGAGATGGCCTCTCACTCTATTGCCCAGGCTGGAGTGCAGGGGCATGATCTTGGCTCACTGCAACCTTCCCCTCCCAGGTTTAAGCAATTCTCTTGTTTCAGTCTCCTGAGTAGCTGGGATTACAGGTGCCCACCACCACACCTAGCTAACTTTTGTATTTTTAGTAGTATTAAGTACATTCCAATTATTGGGCAACCATTGTAATCACCCAGTGGGTTCTTCCTGCCTGCTGCACAGGCAAAATCAATCCACTGAGACCATGGCATTGCAGTAAAGAAAGCATGTAACTGATGCAAGGCTAGCTATGCCATGAGCGAGACAGAGTTATTAGTCAAATCAATCTCCCAGAAGTCTCAGAGGCTAGGGTTTTTCAAGGAGTTTGGTGAGCAGGGGGCTAGGGAAGGGGGCATTCTGATTGGTTGGGGATGCCATCACAGGGTGTGGAAAACAGTCCAGTCCTGGTGTGATGAGTCGGCTTCTGGGGGAGGACCACTAGAGGTGTCGCTGGTCTGGGTGGGGCCATCCAGTAGCCAGAAATGCAAAAGCCTGGCCATGCAGGAATTACACGTATAATTCCAGCACTTTGGGAGGCTGAGGCAGGAGAATCACTTGAGGTCAGGAGTTCGAGACCAACCTGGCCGACATGGTGAAACCCCATCTCTACTAAAAACACAAAAATTAGCTGGGCGTGCTGGTGCATGCCTGTAATCCCAGCTACTCAGGAGGGTAAGATGTAAGAATTGCTTGAACCCAGGAGGTGGAGGTCACAATGAACTGAGATCACGCCACTCCACTCTAGCCAGAGTGCGACTCTGTCTCAAAAGAAAGAAAAAAGAAATGCAGAAACCTGAAAAGATATCTCAAAAGGCCAATCTTAGGTTCACAATAGTGATGATATTTACAGGAGTAATTGAGGAAGTTACACATCTTGGGACCTCCGGAGTAATGGCTGGTAATCATTTAACTATGCACATAACTTAGCAGAATTCAGGACCCTCTTACCCTCCTAACTTGGTGGTCTTTCATTAGTTTTACAAGGGAGGTTTAGTTTTGGGGGAAGGGCTACTATCATTTAAGCTATAAACTAAATTTCTCCCAAACTTAGCTTGGCCTACACCCAGGAATATGCAAAGATAGCCAGCCTATGAGGCTAAAAGCAAGATGGAGTCAGCCATGTCAGATTTCTCTTACTGTCATAATTTTGCAAAGGCAGTTTCACCATCACCACCATCCATCACCAGAACTCTTTTCATGTTGCAAAAACTCTATATCCACTAAACAATAACTCTCATTTCTCCTCCCACCAGCTCCTAGCAACCATGATTCTACTTTCTAAGATTTTGACTATGCTAAGTACCTCATACAAATGGAAGTATACAATATTTGTCTTTCTGTGACTGGCTTAATTAGCATAATGTCTTCAAGTTTTATCTGTGTTGTAGCATGTGTCAGAACTTCCTTCTTTTTTAAGGCTGAATAATATTCCATTTTATGTATACATAACATTTTGCTTATCCATTTATCTGCAACTTGAGTTGCTTCCACCTTAGAGCTATTGTGAATAATGCTGGCATGAACATGGGTGTACAAATACCTCTTCAAGACCCTACTTTCTTTTTTTTTTTTTTTTTGGAGATGGAGTCTCGCTCTGTTGCCCAGGCTGGAGTGCAATGGCGCGATCTCGGCTCACCATAACCTCTGCCTCCCGGGTTCAAGCGATTCTCCTGCCTCAGCCTCCCAAGTAGCCGGGACTACAGGCACGTGCCACCATGCCCGGCTAATTTTTGTATTTTTAGTAAAGATTGGGTTTCACTCTGTTGGCCAGGCTGGTCTCGAACACCTGACCTCATGATCCACTTGCCTCGGCCTCCCAAAATGCTGCGATTACAGGTGTGAGCCACCTTGCCTGGCCAAGACCCTACTTTCAATTCTTTTGAGAATATACCCAAAAGTGAAATTGATGAATCATATGCAAATTACATTTTTAATTTTTAATTTTTTTTTGAGATGGAGTCTTGCTCTATCACCAAGGCTGGAGTACAGTGGCATGATCTTGGCTCACTGCAACCTCCACCTCCCAGGTTCAAGAAATTCTTGTGCCTCAGCCTCCCGAGTAGCTGGGATTATAGGCATGTGCCATCATGCCCAGCTAATTTTTGTATTTTTGGTAGAGATGGGGTTTTGCCATGTTGGCCAGGCTGGACTTGAACTCCTGGCCTCAAGTGATCGGCCCACCTCAGCCTCCCAAAGTGTTGGCATTACAGGCATGAGCCACCGTGCCCAGCCCCATTTTTAATTTTTGAGGAACCACCGTAACTGTTTTCTGCAGCAGCTTCACCATTTCACATTCCCACCAACAGTGCACAAGGATTCCAATTTCTCCACATCCTCGACAATGCTTGCTATTTTCTGGAGTTTATTTATTTATATAGTTTTAAAAATGAGATGGAGTTTAGCCATGTTGTTCAGGCTGGTCTCAAACTCCTGAGCTCAAGGGATCTGCCTGCTGCAGCCTCCCAAAATGCTAGGATTACTGGCTTGAGCCACTATGTCCAATCCTGGAGTTTGTTTTGTTTAGAGTAGCCATCCTAATAGTGTGAAGTGGTATCTCACTGTAGTTTTGATTTGCAATCCCCTAATGATTAGTGATGTTCCCCTCCTTTTCTTTTCATTTTGCCTTCTTTTTTTTTTTTTTTTTGAGACGGAGTCTTGCTGTGTCGCTCAGGCTGGACTGCAGTGGCGCTATCTTGGCTCACTGAAACCTCTGTCTCCCGGGTTCAAGTGATTCTCCTGCCTCAGCCTCCCGAGTAGCTGGGATTACAGGCACCTGCCACCATGCCCAGCTAATTTTTATATTTTTAGTATAGACGGGGTTTCACCATGTTGGCCAGGCTGGTCTCAAACTCCTGACCTCAGGTGATCCACCTGCCTCGGCCTCCTAAAGTGCTGGGTTACAGGCGTGAGCTACCACACCCGGCTGCCTTCATTCTTAAAGGATGTTTTGCTGGCTATAGAATTCTGGATTGATTTACTTTTTTCTGATCCTATACTTGAAGATATTGTTTCACTGTCTTCTGATATCTATTATTTATAAGAAGAAACAGCATTCATTTGTATCATCATTCCCTGCATATAGTGAGTTGTTTTCTCTGGCTTTCAAGATTTTCTCTTTATCTTTGGTTTTCAGCATTTTGACTATACTGTGTGCAGGTATGGTTTTCTTCATATTTTTTTTTTTGGTGGGGAGAGGGTTACTTAGCTTCTTAAATCTATAAATTTATCTTTCAACCTATTTAGAAAATTTCAACCTCTTTTTCTTCAAAATAATTTTTCTGTCCCATATTCTCTTCCTTACTTCTGAGACTCCAGTTACACATATTTTAGCTCTTTTGCTATTTCCCCTCAGTTTCCTGAGAGTCTATTCATTCCCGCCCTCTCCCATCCATTTTCTGTCTGTTACTTAGATTGAGTAATTTTTATTGATTTCTCATCAAGTTTTCTGACTTTTTTCTCCTGTCACCTTCAATCTGCTTCTAAGCCTGTCCAGTAAAGCTTTAAATTTCAGATATTAAACTTTTCAATTGTATAATTTACATTTGGTTACTATAGTTTTTATTTCTCTGCTTGTATTTTCTTTCATTAATTATGAGTAATATTTTCCTTTATATATGTACTCTGTTTGGCACAATTTTAATAGCTGCTTTAAAGTCTTTGTTATAACTCAACATTTGATGCATGTCAGCATCAGACTCTTGAGTACTGGGGTCACATTTCATTTTTATGTCTAGTAATTTCAGATTGTACCTTGGATATTGTAAAAGATACCTTGTAGAAGTTTTGGATTCTGTCACATTTCTCCAAAAGGGTTTGTTTGTTTGTTGTTTTAAGTAGGCAATACATATATCCCTTTCTTCTTTTGTTTAAATGTCAATTTTAGTTTTGCCAGTTGGGTGCAGTGGCTCATGCCTGTAATCCCAGCACTTTGGTAGGTGGAGGCAGGAAAATCACTTGGGCCCAGGAGTTTGAGACCAGCCTGGGCAATGTAGACAGACATCATCTCTACAAAAAATAAGAAATTCGCTGGATATGGTGGCATGCACCTGTGATCCCAGCTACTTGGGAGGCTGAGGGAGGAGGACCCCTTGAGCCTAGGAGGTCAAAGTTGCAGTGAGCCATGATCATGCCATTGCCCTCCAGCCTGGGTGAGACCCTGTCTCTAAAAAATAATAATAATAATTTTTGTCAAAGTGAGATATACACATAATTTTAAAAAGTCTAACACAATGACAAAGCTTGTAATGACAATAGTAGAACACTATACCACCATTTCCACCCTGAAACCTGCCCCTCAGGAAGAAAAACTTTTAATTCTTTCAGCTGTTTCTTCTATTTACATCTACTTTTCTAAAAATATTTCTAAAAATATTCATATATATAGATATACACACATAATTTTCATATGTACATATATATGTATATTCATATATACACACACACTTTTTTTTTTGAGACAGGATCACTCTCTGTTGCACAGGCTGGAGGGCAGTGGCGTGATCATGGTTCACTGCGGCCTTGAACTCCTGGGTTCAAGTGATCTTCCCACCTCAACCTCCTGAGTAGCTGGGACTGCAATTGTGCACCACTATGCCTAGCTAATTTTTAATTTTTCTTTTGTAAAGACAGGGTCTCACTATGTTGAACAGGCTGGTTTCTAACTCCTGGGCTCAGGTGATCCTCCTGCCTCGGCCTTCCAAAGTGTTGGGATTACAGGCATGAACCACCATGCTTGACCTCTCATATTTTTATTTATATGTTATCTATTGACGTTCTATTATGGAGTCACAAAATTTAGCACACTTAAAACCTCCTTCCCTCTCTTCATACTCCCAATATATTTGTAGTACATTTTTGTTTATATCAATATTTATACTGTTTATATTATCTCACTATATAACACTTGCTCAATGTTAAGCCAAGTAATATAATACTGATAAGATAAATTTTTATTCATATTAGAATTAATAATTGCCCTGTGGGTTGTTTTAGCAGTTTTCTATGTAATAATTACTAGTTCAACCTTAAACTTAGCAATATAATGGTGATACCCCTCTGAATGTTGATAATTCCTATTGCCTTCAGCTATGCCTGGTATCCCTATGTTTAGATGCTGTAAGTTTCTTAACACACAGTCAGTCTTCTGCTGGAGTGGGAAAGAAGGTCCATCTGTCTTTGAAAAAGGAGTTCTGGCCGGGGCCGGTGGTTCGTGCCTGTAATCCCAGCACTTTGGGAGGCTGCGGCAGGTGGATCACTTGAGGTCAGGAGTTCGAGACCAGCCTGGCCAACATGGCAAAACCCTGTCCCTGCCAAAAATATAAAAAATTAGCCAGGTGTTGTGGTGCACACCTGTAGTCCCAGCTACACAGGAGGCTGAGGCAGGAGAATCGCTTGAACCTGGGAGGCAGAGGTTGCAGTGAGCTGAGATCACACCACTGTACTCTAGCCTGGGTAGGCAACAAAGTAAGACTCTGTCTCAAAAAAAAAAAAAAAAAAAAAAAAGAAAAGAAAAGAAAAATGGAGTTCTAGGGGTCTGAGTGAGCCATGTAAGGTTTTTCAATGGATCCTTCTCTTTTCATCTGTAACATGAATTTCTGCCTTTAGAGATACCTGGTGCCTCCAAATTCTGAGCATGTCCAAGATCCTCTGGCAATATCAGTTTTCTTCTCATTAGCATACTCTTGGTTTTAAGCTTTCATAATTTGAGTAACACTAGTAATTTCTATCTTCCAGAAATCTGCTGACATTGCTTGTCTGCACCTGTGTTCGTTCTGTGTTTTGTCCCTCCACATCCATTAGCCATATTTTTCTGCCCCGCTCCGTATCCTGAGAAGATAACACCTATGGACTTGCACTCCTTTGATTTTTGGCATCCAGTTCGATTCAGCTAACTGGAGTGACTGGAAGAAGAATGCAGAGTGGGAGGGGATAGAATAATAGATGTAAGCGCATTTATTGCCATTGCTGTGCCCCCTTTTTATGTGCCTCTTCCCTGGAGGCTGCTGTGTTGGTAGTGGCAGAAAACTTGTACCTAACTCCATGGCTCCCCTAGGGTGACTTTCTCCTATGCCTGGAGTTCTTACCAGGTTACAGTAATTATTCTTTCCACTTGCCCCTTGAGGCCTAGGGATGGTGACAGCTTCCCAGTGTTGCTAGTGCCTGGGTACTTTAGCATCTCTTTTTGGTTCTCTTAATCCTGCCCACACCTCTGTAAATAGTTTCCTCATTAAATTTTCTTCATTTCTCCTTTGAGCATGCCAATCTGTTTCCTGCCAGAACTCTAACTGCTATGTTGCTGTTCACGTTCCCCCTTTACTATGTTTATTCATTTCAAAAATTTTATTCTCATTTTAGCAGAGTTTCTGGAGGCAACAGAAATAAGTGTCATATGCTCAATCTGATGCGTTTAATTATTGAATATCCTTTTCTCCACTATCCCTATGCATAAGTATTTGACTCTACTTTCTTTTTCTTTCTTTTTTTTCTTTTTTTTTTTTTTTTTTTTTGAGACAGAATCTGGTTCTGTGCTCAGGCTGGAGTGCAGGGGCACGATCTCAGCTCACTGCAACCTCTGCCTCCTGGGATCAAGCCATCATCCCACTTCAGCCTCCCAAATAGCTGAGAGGGACCATAGGTGCATGCCACCACTCCTGGCTAATTTTTATACTTTTTTTTTTTTTTTTTTTGGTAGAGACAGGTTTTCACCATTGTTGCCCAGGCTGCTCTTGAACTCCTGAGCTCAGGCAATCCGCCCGCCTTGGCCTCCCAAAGTGCTGGGATTACAGGCGTGTTTTATCTGAGTTCCTTCCTCAGGAAAGAACCTTCAGGCCTCTCAAAAAAAGTGTCAAAGAACTAAAACTCACCAGATCACCACATCCTAACAGTGAGATGCTGGACCGCTCATTCATCATAATTGCTTCCGTGTCCCTCCCTAGTTCTGGATTTCTTGCACATTGTTACATTTCTTCCCTCCTATATAAACCCCTAGTTTTAGTCGGTCAGGGAGATGGATTTGAGATTGAGCTGCTGTGTCCTCGGCTGCAGCACCAGGTTAAAGCCTTCTTCCTTGGCAGTACTCGGCATCTTAGTGATTGGCTTTCTGTGTCACGAGCAGCAGGACCTAGACCGCACCCCTGGTGTTTCGGCAACATAAGCAGTATCTCACCAATGTTCTGTGACTTTCTTCCTTTGATTGCCTTGAAGTTTCTGATCTTGCTCTTCTTTCTTCAGAGGCCAGTTGAAGGCCACACCCCTGTCTGCTGTTGGCTCTCACTGATTTGTCTAAAGGCTGTGGGTACTTGGGGTCAAATTGTTGATGTTTGTGCTAGTGATGGTACTTCTTTTTTTCTTTTCTTTCTTTTTTTATTTTTTTGGAGACAGTCTCACTCTTTGCCCAGACTGGAGTGCAGCAGCACCATCTCAGCTCACTGCGACCTCCACCTCCCAGGTTCAAGCAATTCTCCTGCCTCAGCCTCTCAAGTAGCTGAGACTATAGAAGCGCATCACCATGCCTGGCTAATTTTTTTGTATTTTTAATAGAGACGGGGTTTCGCCAAGTTGACCAGGCTGGTCTTGAACACCTGTCCTCAAGGAATATTCCTGCCTTGACCTCCCAAAGTGCTGGGATTACAGGTGTGTGCCACTGCCCCCTGCCAGATGGATGCTATTTCTTGTCATTGCTGAAGCTGCTGGCTCCAATGCTGTTGACATTTCACACCCTCACTGCACCCACACGGGTATGTTCTTCTACACTGGAAGAAATTTTTCTCAATTCACAGGATCAGAAAATTACATTTTCTCCTATGCTTCTGCTTTTTTATGAATACTGTGGACATGCAACCAACTTTGCTTCTTTCTTTGAGCCGGCTGCTAGAAAGCTCTTAGCTAAATTTGCATTGTATTTCCAGAGGGTAGAGAGGGTCTTACAGTTTGTATGTATGTTTGGATAGTGCGTGTGTGTGTGTGTGTGTGTGTGTGTGTGTGTTTAATTGAGACAGGGTCTTACTCTGTCACCCAGGCTGGAGTGCAGTGGCGTGATAAGGGGTCACTGCAGCCTCAACCTGTCAGGCTCAAGTGATCCTCCTGCCTCAGCCCCCCAAGTAGCTGGGACTACAGGAATGCACCACCACACCCAGCTAATTAAACAAAAATTATTTTGGTAGAAATGGGGTCTCACTGTGTTGTCCAGGCCAGTCTCAAATTCTTCGGCTCAAGTGATCCTCCTGCCTCAGCCTCCCAAGGTGCTGGGATGACAGGTGTGAGCCATTGTGCCTGGCCTTGTATATGTTTTAAGTGAATTTTAGACTTCCTTTGTTTGTTTTACCCTTACGTTTTCACTTGTATGTTATTCATTCGATACTGTATTTATTTTGATAGGGTGACTCAAATCTTTTAATTTGGAACAAGGGGGGAGCAATGTATTATAAATAATTGAATAAATAAATAATTAAAAAGCTGCCTTTTATTAAAATCCCTCTATCTTAGAACTCAGGACTGAATTCATGGTAGCAATTTTGATTACCATAGCTTTTTTTTTTTTTTTTTTTTTTTTGAGACAGAGTTTTCGCTCTGTCGCCCAGGCTGGAGTGCAGTGGCACAATCTCAGCTCACTGCAAGCTCTGCCTCCCAGGTTCATGCCATTCTCCTGCCTCAGCCTCCCAAGTAGCTGGGACTACAGGCACCTGCCACCATGCCAGGCTAATTTTTTGTATTTTTTAGTAGAGACGGGGTTTCCCCGTGTTAGCCAGGATGGTCTCGATCTCCTGACCTTGTGATCCACCCGCCTTGGCCTCCCAAAGTTCTGGGATTACAGGCGTGAGCCACCACGCCCGGCCTGATTACTATAGCTTTATACTGAGTCTTAAACATGGGTAATATGATTCCTTCAACTTTATTCTTCTGTTTTAAAATTGTTGGCCTGGCGCGGTGGCTCATGCCTGTAATCCCAGCACTTTGGGAGGCGGAGGCAGGTGGATCACTTGAGGTCAGGAGTTTGAGACCAGACTGGCCAATGTGACAAAACCCCATCTCTACTAAAAATACAAAAAGTAGCCAGGCGTGGTGGCGGGTGCTTGTAATCCCAGCTACTCAGGAGGCTGAGGCAGGAGAATCGCTTGAACCCAGGAGGCAGAGGTTGCAGTGAGCCGAGATTGCGCTACTGCACTCCAGCCTGGGCAACAAGAGTGAAACTCTGTCTCAAAAAAAAAAATTGTTTTAGCTATTTTGTTGCTTTGCCTTTTCTATAAATTTTAGAATCAGCTTGTCTATATTCATAAACGCTACTGCAAGGATTTTTAATAACACTTTTATTGAACTATACAACTGAAGTCATAGTTATTTGCATTGTGATAATTCTATTTTTTATTTGTGTTACTCATTTGTCTAGCTTTAGTAACAATCTTTATCCTGTCTGGCAGGAAAGCAGGTGCATGGAGAATACTCCACTTGACAAATTGCTTTCCGATCGTATTCCTCTGTTTTCATCCACAATATTTGGCTTTGTCAGAAGCTTTTCTTCTCTAGCCTTGTTTCTGTCCCACTGTGAACACAGAGCCTTGCATGTGATTCCACATTACTCCCTAGAGTAATGTAGCTCGGTATCAAGGGAGATTTGAAATGGAAAAAAGCAGGAACCTCTGGCTATCTGTGGGTTGTTTGGGTAATTTTTAATATCCTGTTTTAAACTTACCTATTCTGTGTATTTAGAAATGATAACCTAAAAACTTTATGGAATTCCATACAAATTACTTTTGGTTGGGGGGTGGACTTATATTTGAAGATCATCTTACTGTGGCATATTTTGTTTTAAGAGAATGTGATAGGTTGACATATAAGTAGTTATGAAAATGAAAACCCAGTAGATAAAAGGGCAAAGACTAGAACAAGGACTTTACAGAAGAGAAAACCCAATGAGACAATAAATACAGGGAAAAATATTCAGCCTCATTAACCTCAAGGAAATGATACATCAAGATACAATTTTACACTCACCAGGCTGGCAAAAATAAAATCTGATAATATTGAGTGTTGACAATGTGGAGCAATGCAAATTATAATTATCTGCTGGTGGGTGACACAATAACTTTGAGAAATAATTTGGCATTGGCTAGTAAAGTTGAAGAGGTGTGTGTCATATAACCGGATGTTCCTACTTACAGGTACAAGTCCTAAAGAAACCCTCAAACATGTGCATCAGGGGACATGGACCAATCCAATCAAAGCTGTACAATTTATGATAGCATCACATTAGAAGCAGCACAAATGCCCAGCAGCAATGGAATGGATAGATTGCCGCATATCTATAGAATGGAATACTATACAACAGTGAAAATAAAGCAGTTACGACAACGTGGATGAATCTCAGAAAGATAATTTTGAATTTTCTGAATGAAAAAAATGCAAGGCACACAATGCATGGAATATGATTCCATTAAATTAAAACCCAAAAGCATGCATCTAAATGATGTAAGTATACAAACTTGTTAAACCTCTAAGAATTGCAAGATAACACAATATTTAGGATAGGATTTATTTCTTTTTCTTTCTTTTTTTTTTCTTTTTTCCTGGGACAGGGTCTGGTTCTGTCACCCGGGCTGGAGTGCAGTGGCAGGATCTCAACTCACTACAACCTCCACCTCCCAGGCTCAAGTGATCTTCCCACCTCTCAGCTTCATGAGTAGCTGGGACTATAGGTGTGCGCCACCATGCCTAGCTAATTTTTGTATTTTTTGTAGAGACAGGTTTTCATCATGTTGTCCAGGCTGGCCTTGAATTCCTGAGCTCAGACAATCCGCATGCCTTGGCATCCCAAAGTGTTGGGATTATAGGCGTGAGCCATCGTGCCTGGCCTTGGGTTTATTTCTAATAAACAAAGGAAATGCAAACAGAGAAGGCCACACAGATGATGATAATAGTCCTTATTTTCTTTCTTTTTTTTAGTCATATGAATGTCAGATTATAACCTTATTTTCTTAATTGAGTGATAGACACACAGGTATCTATGCTTTTTTAATCTCATTTTCTGGAGTATATATTATATATATTTTATATATATAATATTTATCTTCTTAATAATAAAATTACTTTTAAGTGAAAAGAAAGGTCACCAAAATGTTATGTCTTTAAACTTACAAAGTTAGTTATCACGTTTATTTCTGACTACTCAAAAAATTGCCCTTGCAGTTTAGACAAAATGCTACCCCAGATATCACAGCCAACGAAAGTGAGCTGCAAAGGATTTAGGTCACTAGTTTTAGCCACGTATTTTCATCATGTGCTTTCACTTTTAAATAAAAGAATGTCTTTATTCTTTAAAACATTTGCTTAAGATTTTGAAGCAGATAATATTTTAAAATAGTGGCTCTTAGCTCCTGGCTGTACATTAGAATCGCTCAGAGACTTAAATAACATAAAATATTGATGTCCAACCCCCATCCCAGATTAAATGAGTCAAAATCTCTGTTGGTGGGACCTGGGTTTTGGATTTTTCTTGAAAAATTCCCCAGATTATTCTTACTTAAAGGCATAATTGGAAAGTACCATTTTAAAGCAAATTTCTAAGCCAGCATTTCTAAATGTGGTTTACTGTCTACACCACATTGTTGGTGCAAAATTCTTAAGTGAATAGGAAATAAATTTGGTAGGTTTCTAGCATTTTGAAAATACAAGTAATTGGGAATAGAAAATATCAGAGTGGTCCTGGCACCGTGGCTCACGCCTGTAATCCCAGAACTTTGTGAGGCCGCGGCAGGCAGATCACGAGGTCGAGAGATCGAGACCATCCTGGCCAACATGGTGAAACCCCATCTCTACTAAAAATACAAAAATTAGCTGGGCGTGGTGGCACATGCCTGTAGTCCCAGCTACTCGGGAGGCTGAGGCAGGAGAATTGCTTGAACCAAGGAGGTGGAGGTTGCAGTGAGCTGAGATTGTGCCACTGCACTCCAGCCTAGCGACAGAGCGAGACTCCATCTTAAAACAACAAAAAAAAAAAAAAAGAAAAAAGAAAATATCAGGGTGCATCATATTTTTATTTCTGGAGTGTGTGTATGGGAGAGGTTATGTTTAATGAGTGGTCATGGAAAATACAGGATTTCATACTGTGAGCCACAGTATGTTTGAAAAACAGTTCTAAACAAGCCTAAGGTGCTATTAGGTATTCTTTTAAAACATTTTTAATTGGCAAGTAAAAATTGTGTATATATATTTTATATATATATATAAAATGTACACCATGATGTTTTGATATATGTACACACTGTGGAATAGCTAAGTTAGGTATTTTTCCCTACTGCAAAGTTGATCAAGCAGTAATATTGATACAGGAGTTAAGAAGAAATTACTTAGGCAGATAGTGAGGGCACAGAACTCCTTGGTAAGGTTTTCCTTTTAATGAAAAGCAGCCCCAAATAATTTTCCTTTCTAACAGCAGCCTGTAAAATTGAGCTGCACACGTAGACGCTGGCAGTTATGCCAAGCATGTTAAAAATGGCGGCTCCATCTTCCCTTCTCTGACAGCCACATGCACAGGAAGAAGCAGACAAGATGGCGCTGGCCAAGGGGAAAGTTCATTTGCATAGTATGATTAGAGTGGGTCTGCCAGCCTTCTCCTTGCCCTATGTAAACATCATACCTGATCAAGCCAATCTGCGAGTGCTATGTAAATCAGACACCGCATCCTCAAGCCTGACTATAAAATCTGGCACATCCACTGCCAGCCTTTTCCTCTCCAAAGTCCTCTCTCTCTCACTAGAGAGTGAGCTGTTTTCCTTTCTCTTTCTTTCTTTTGCCTTTTAAACCTCCACTCCTAAATTCCTCATGTGCGTTTGTGTCCTAACTTCTCTTGGTGTGAGATGATGAACCCTGGGTATTTATCCCAGACACTGTAGCTGATTCAATATCATATGATGGTTGCAATGCCTGTGTCCGAATCCTGGCTTTTCCACTCACCAGCTGTATGACTTCAGGCAAATTATCTAACCTCTTTGTGTCTATTCCCTCATCCTAAAAATCTCTTATAGTGCTTGCAGAGGAGTTCAGCAAACTGCACAGTCAGAGGGCACAGTCCTTCAAAGACTGCTCTTCAAACACCAGCTGCAAGTTTGAAGGGCCCCAAGGCCACCCTCAGTACAGACCAACGGGCTACAAATTCAGAGGTGCCCATGACCACCCTCAGGTTCGGTAATTCACTAGAAAGACTCACAGAACTCAGAGAGCGATTATACTCACTGTCACATTTATTACAGGTAAAGGATACAAATTAGAACCAGCCAGAGGAAGAGAATGCGTATGTGGAAGTCTGGCAGGAATCCAAATGCAGAGCTGCTGTCATCCCCATGCTGTGTTCCCCTCCCATCAACAAAGGGGACGATACTGAGAAGGAAACTCACCCAGCTCTTATGTCCAGAATTTTTATTAGGGCTTCGTACAATAGGCACAATTGATTGAATTATTGTCCACGTGGCTGAACCCAACTGCCAGTCTCCCTCCCCTGCCTGGAAGTCAGGGTGAAGTGACGTGGCCCAAAACCCCAGTCTTTTTTTTTTTTAACTTTTAACTAAAAAGTAAACTTGAATGTCGAAAATGCAAACTTGGGGAAGACAGAAAAGATCACACGCAAGGCTGTCACTTCGCACTTGGAAGGTTGCACAGTGGCCGGGCAGAGGCGCTCCTCACTTCCCAGACGGGGTGGCGGCCGAGGAGAGACGCTCCTCACTTCCCAGACGAGAAAGCCCCAGTCTTCTAATCACTTGGTCTTCTCTCGTGGCCAGCCCCACCTTGAATCATCTTGTTAACATAAACTATCTTGTAACGGCCTTGTTACTGATAACTATCAGGTGTGGTCCAAGGTGCTTGTCATGAATAACAAAAACATTCCCACACCTGGAAAAAAAAAAAATCTCAAAGAGTTGGCCAGGTGCAGTGGCTCATGCCGGTAATCCCAGCACTTTGGGAGGCCGAGGCGGGCAGATCGCTTGAGTCCAAGAGTTTGAGACTAGCCCAGGTGACACAGCGAAACCCTGTCTGTACAAAAAAATACCAACATTAGCTGAGCGTGGTGGCATGACATGTAGTCCCAGCTACTTGGGAGGGTGAAGTGGGAGGATCGTTTGAACCTGGCAGGTGGAGGTTGCAGTGAGCTGAGATCACACCACTGCATTCCCAACCTGGGCAACAGAGTAAGACCCTGTCTCAAAAACAAAAAACAAAACAAAAAATCTCAAGGGTCTAGAAATGACCCCCCTGAACTAAGACAAAAGCCAGACCTCACTTTGGAGGTCAAATTCCTTACTAAACAAGTGGTTGTGAGGATTAAACGAGCACATGTATATGGGAAACTCTTAGAATATTGCCTGCTATGTGGTAAGTGCTCCTAGATACTATTACTATTGTTTTTAATCTTTGCCCCTTTTATTTTCAGTCCTTGACTTCTCAAAGAGCCTTGTTTCTGTTTTAATTTTCACTTTCATCTAGCCAACAGCCTTCGCTTCCCTAGTTTCTCTCTCTCATTGAGCATAAGGGAGAAATTACTTGGCTGAAAGTGGGAAGGAAAGGGTAGGAGGAAAGCTAGAGGCTTTTTACCTCCCCAACACACCCTTGTCACTTCCATTCTCAGCTGTCATCCCCCTTCCCTTCTTCACTTTTCTCACTTCATTCTTAACCACCCCTCCCCTCTCTCCTACCTTTTCTTTTTTTAATTAAAAAAAAAACTTTTAGGTTCAAGGGTCCACGTGCAGGTTTGTTATGTAGGTAAATTGTATGTAACGGGGGGTTTGGTGTACAGACTTTGTCACCCGGGTAATAACCATACAACAGATAGGTAGTTTTTCAGTCCTCATCCTCTTCCCACCCTCCACCCTTCTAGCAGGCCCCAGTGTCTGTTGTTCCCCTCTATGTGTCCGCGTGTACTCAGTGTTTTGCTCCCACGTCTGAGTGAGAACATGTGGTGTTTGGTTTTCTGTTCTTGCCTTAGTTTGCTTATGGCCTCCACTGCAGCTTCATCCATGTTGCTGCAAAAGACATGATCTGATTTTTTTGTTTGTTTTGAGACAGAGTCTTGCTCTTTTGCCCAGGCTGAAGTGTAGTGGCACAGTCTCGGCTCACTGCAGCCTCCGCCTCCTGGCTTCAAGAAACTCTCCCGCCTCAGCCTCCCGAGTAGCTAGGCGCTACCACGCCTGGCTACTTTTTGTATTTTTAATAGAGATGGGGTTTCGCCATGTTGTCCGGGGTGGTCTCAAACTCCTGACCTCAAGTGATCCGCCTGCCTTGGCCTCTTAAAGTGCGGGATTACAGGTGCGAGCCACCGAGCCTGGCCAGCTCTTTCTATTCTTGATGATCTCCACAACTCCCACATCATTTATGTTACCCAGTTAGACCTTGTAGGATATAATTTTGCAACCACAAGGTTAGAGATTATTACCACTTATCCCTCAATCTCTTGCCAATAAACAGAACACAGAAAACATTACTAACAAATTTACCAAAATTCTCTAGAACTCACACTAAGTTACAGGTTTAGAGCAAAGCTTTAATGATGTAAGCACACGTTAATTTGTAAATAAACTGAGCTCACACCCTGACCTTGTACCGAAGGAACAGTGCTTCCATTCTTTAACTTATGTTGCCTACAAAATAAACATCCTGGGATAGAAATATTGTGTGATGGGGCTGGGCGTGGTGGCCCATGCCTGTGAGAGGTGACAATGTACTAGCAGCCCTTGCTCGCTCTCAGTGCCTCCTTGGCCTTGGTGTCCACTCTGGCTGCGCTTGAGGAGCCCTTCAGCCTGCCGCTGCACTGTGGGGACCCTTCTCTGGGCTGGTCGAGGCCGGAGCGGGCTCCCTCTGCTTGCGGGGAGGTGCGGAGGGAGAGGCGCGGGCGAGAACGGCGGCTGTGTGCGCGCTCGCAGGCCAGCATGAGTTCCCGGTGGGCATGGGCTCAGCGGACTCCGCACTCTGAGCCGCCGGCCAGGGCCGCCAGCGCCGGGGAGTGAGGGGCTTAGCACCCGAGCCAGCAGCTGCGGAGGGTGAGCCAGGTCCCCCAGCACTGCCGGCCTGCCCGCATCCCACTTGAATTCTCGCCAGGCCTCAGCCGCCTCCCCGCAGGGCAGGGCTCAGAATCCGTAGTCCGCTCTGCCCGCGCCTCGCCCCCCGCCCGCCTTTCCCCCGCGCCTCGCCCCCCGCCCCCCGCGCTCGCCCCCCCCCCGTCTCGCCTCCCCCCGCCCGCCCTCCCCCCAGCCCCCTCACCCCCCCTCCACCACTCCACCACCCCCCAGGCCTCCCTCCACCACCGCCCCCAGGCCTCCCTTCACCACCCCCCCACACGCCACCGTGGGCTCCCGCGCGGCCCGAGCTTTCCCGGGGGGCACCACCCCCTGCTCCACAGCGTTTGGTGCCATCCACCACCCAGGGGGCTGAGGAGTGTGCGCAGGTGGCAGGACTGGCAGGCAGCTCCACCGGTGGCCCTGATGAGAGATCCACTAGGGGAAGCCAGCTGGGCTCCTGAGTGAGGTGGGGGTCTTGGAGAACTTTTATGTCTAGCTAGAGGATTGTAAATGCACCAATCAGCACTCTGTGTCTAGCTCAGGGATTATAAACAGACCAATCAGTACTCTGTCAAAACGGACCAATCAGCTCTCTGTAAAATGGGCCAATCAGCTCTCTGTAAAATGGACCAATCAACAGGATGTGGGTGCAGCCAAATAAGGGAATAAAAGCAGGCTGCTGGAACCGGCAAGGCAACCTAGTTGGGTTACCTTGTCTTTTGTGGAGGTTTTGTTCCTTTGCTCTTTGCAATAAATTTTGCTGCTGCTAAGTAGTTGGGTCCGTGGTGCTTTAAAGAGCTGTAACACTCACTGCGGAGGTCTGCAGTTTCACTCCTGAAGCTAGTGAGACCAGGAGCCTGCCAGAAGGAAAAAACTCTGGACATGTTCAAACATCGGAAGGAACAAATTCCAGACACACTATCTTTAAGAACTGTAACACTCAACCGTGAGGGTCCGCGGATTCATTCTTGAAGTCAGTGAGACCAAGAACCCACCAATTCCGGACACACCTGGAATTCTTTGGAAGGCTGAAGCAAGAGGATCATTTGAGGCCAGGAGTTTGAGAAATTCTATGTGATATAAAGCAGATGCATAAAATTTGCCCACATCTGCAACTTACTTATAAAATGTTTTTTTCAAGAGACTGGAACTTCTAGTGCATAAATACAGTTTGGGTTTAAAAACCCAGAATCCTGAAAAAAATGGCTCTACTTAAAAAACGACTGTTTTTGGTAGTTGAACAGTAATTTAAAGGGCTCTTCAGTGACGTTAGAAATCATTAAATCCAATTCTTTCCTTTTAAATGTAAGGAAGCTGTTGAAGAAAAGTCCCATGCTGTGTTTTATGTTTTGAAGGTATCAGAACTTCTTAAAAAATTAACTGCTGTAGCGGGGAGAGAGCAGAGGGTCTGCTTCTTCAAATACTGGCGATCACACCATGGTTTTATATTGTTTTGGAAATAACTTTTAGTTGAAAAACTTCGAGGAGTTCATTGTAAGTTCAATTACAGCTGGAGGGATATAATTTATTGTAATTTATTAGTCATTGAATATCCATGTGCTCCCAAGACTCCCCAGCTCCCTTGCAGTTAGGAGGGCCTATGCGACTCGTTTTGACAAATGAGCCGTGAGTGGAAATGACATGTGTCACTTCTGGGACAAAGCACAAAGAGAAGAGCACTTTATCATTCTTGATTCCTCTCTCTTTTCTTGCCGCAATGACAGCCGAGGCCAAATGTGGAGATGGCATAACCAGAAGAGGGAACGAACTGGCCTGGATGTGACTCATGCTTGGAAGGGAGCTGTCTGGAAGGACCACAGTACCTGCAGCCAACTTTGTGTGAGTGGAAAATAAATAGGTTAAAGCAATACAATTGGGGGATTGTTATTGTAACATAACGTAGTCTATTCCTGGTTAATGCATTAACAATGCCCTCTCTTAACAGTAGCCGCTTTTTAAACTTCCCCCACTTACGTAAAACATAGTTTATAATATCTAACATTCATACTAATTTAAAAGTTTAATATTCACACAGGGAAGACATCTCTTGTTTAAAAATGTTGATGGCAAGGGAATTATTTATTTATTTGTTTAGAGACAGAGTCTCACTATGTTGCCCAGGCTGGACTCAAACTCCTGGATTCAAGTGATTCTCCTGTTCAGCCTCCTGAATAGCTGGTACTATAGGTACATGTCACCATACCCAGCAGAATCATAATTTTTTCTTTTTCTTGAGACAGAGTCTTGCTCTGTCACCCAGGCTGGAGTGCAGTGGTACCATCTCAGCTCACTGTAATCTCCACCTCCTGGGTTCAAGCGATTCTCCTGCCTCAGCCTCCCGAGTAGCTGGGACTACAGGTGCATGACACCACACCTGGCTAATTGTCGTTTGTTTGTTTTTGAGATAGAGTCTCGGTCTGTCGCCCAGGCTGGAGTGCAGTGGTGCAATCTCGGCTCACTGCAACCTCCGCCTCCTGGGTTCAAGCAATTCTCTGCTTCAGCCTCCTGAGTAGCTGGGATTACAGGCCCCCGCCACCATGGCCAGCTAATTTTTTGTATTTTTACTAGAGACGGGGTTTCACCATCTTGGCCAGGCTGGTCTTGAACTGACCTTGTGATCCACCCCCCTTGGCCTCCCAAAATGCTGGGATTAGAGATGTGAGTCACCACGCCGGGCCTAATTTTTGTATTTTTAGCAGAGATGGGGTTTCGCCATTTTGGCCAGGCTGGTCTCAAACTCCTGACCTCAAATGATCTGCCTGCCTTGGCCTCCCAAAGTGGTAGGATTACAGGTGTGAGCCACCGCGCCCAGCCTGTGTGGTGGCATATGCCTGTGATTCCAGCTACTTGGGAGGCTGAGGTGGGAGAATTGCTTGAACCCAGGAGGCGGAGGTTAGTGAGCTGAGACCAAGCCACTGCACTCCAGCCTGGGCGATAGAGTGAGACCCTGTCTCAAAAATAAATAAATAAATACAAATAATTAAAATTAATTTGTAAGAGTTCTTTAAAGTTCTTTCTCAAGAATATTTGATATAACTATAATTTTCCATTCCATGGCTTACCTTTCTACCTTCTTCATGGTGTTTTGTGATGGACAGAAGTTATTAATTTAATTAATTAATTTTTTTTTGAGATGGAGTCTTGCTCTGTCGCCCAGGCTGGAGTGCAGTGATGCGATCTTGGCTCACTGCAACCTCCACCTCCCGGGTTCAAGCAATTTTCCTACCTCAGCCTCCCAAGTAGCTGGGATTACAGGCAAGTGCCACCATGCCTGGCTAATTTTATTTTGTATTTTTAGTAGAGACGGGGTCTCACCGTGTTAGCCAGGATGGTGTCCATTTCCTAACCTCGTGATCTGCCTGCCTAGGCCTCCCAAAGGGCTGAGATTACAGGCGTGAGCCACCGGGCCAAGCCAAAGTTATTAATTTTAATGTGGCTTAATTTATCATTTTCTTTATAGTTAGTGGATTTTTTTTTCCTACTTGAGAAGAAAGTTCCTCTGGTCACTCTTTAATAACACAAGTATTTTTTCCTCATTAGTTTAAAAATCCAAATTTAACCGTATAATATTGAACAGATCTTGGCAGCCTAACCAATAGCCATGACCGACTTTTTCCCTGTTAACAAAGCAGAATTGATGGAAGAAGGGATTAGGAGAAATGTATACCCTGAAAACATAGTGTTTGGCCAAAGGCACCCCACACTTGATGCACTGAATCAGAATTCTTGGATTGGAACTTAGATGTGTGTAATTTTTGTTTTGTTTTGTTTGTTTTTGAGACAGAGTCTTGCTCTGTCGCCCAGGCTGGAGTGCAGTGGCTTGATCTCTGCTCACTACATCCTCCGCCTCCCGGGTTCAGGAGATTCTCCTGCCTCAGCCTTCTGAGCAGCTGGGATTACAGGCGCACACCACCATGCCCAGCTAATTTTTTTTGTTTTTAGTAGAGACGGGGTTTCAGCATGTTGGTCAGGCTGGTCTCAAACTCCTGACCTCGTGATCCACCCGCCTCGGCCTCCCAAAGTGTTGGGGTTACAGGCCACTGTGCCTGGCCAGTTTTTGTATTTTTAATAGTGATGGGGTTTTACCATGTTGGTCAGGCTGGTCTCGGACTCCTGACCTCAGGTGATCCTCCCACCTCAGCCTCCCAAAGTGCTAGGATTACAGGCATGAGCCACCATGCCCAGCCAGATGTGTGTAATTTTTAAATGTTCCCCAGATGATTCAGTTATACCTTTTATTTTAATTTAATTAATTTTTTGTTTTTGAGACGGGTCTCACTCTGTAGCCCAGGCTAGAGTGCAGTGGTGTGATCATGGCTCACATGCTGCCTCGACCTCATGGGCTCAAGCGATGCTCCCACCTCAGCCTCCCAGGAAGCTGGGACCATAGGTGTGCACCACCAGGCCCAGCTACTTAAAAAAAAACAAACAAACTTGTAGAGATGGAGTCTCGCTGTGTTGCCTAGGCTAGTCTCAAACTCTTGGGCTCCAGGGATCTTCCTACTTCAGCCCCCCCAAAGTGCTGGGATTACAGGCATAAGCCACTGCATCCAGCTTCGGTTGTATCTTGATAAAGACTAAGAAAAACAATCAAAACAAAACACAAACTCAAGTGTCTAGAATGTCACTGAAGGAAGGAGAGAGTTTCAAGCAGAAGTTGGAAAACAGGCTTAGATGTAGCAGAGAGTTCAAGGAGGATAAAGATGATGAAAAATGTGTTGAGTTGGCTTGAATCTTCAAAGTCATTGGTAAAGTAAGAATGCTTTTAGTACAAAGGTGGGGTATAGAATTTGGGTTACATGATATTAAAGATGGGGAGTAGGCAATTAGAACAGCAGTCCTGAACTTTTTTTTTTTTTTTTTTTTTTTTTTTTTGAGACGGAGTCTCGCTGTGTTGCCCAGGCTGGAGTGCAGTGGCACTGTCTCGGCTCGGGCTGACTGCAAGCTCCGCCTCCTGGGTTCACGCCATTCTCCTGCCTCAGCCTCCTGAGTAGCTGGGGCTACAGGCATCTGCCACCACACCCAGCTAATTTTTTTGTATTTTTAGTAGAGACAGGGTTTCACCATGTTAGCCAGGATCGTCTCAATTTTCTGACCTCGCGATCCGCCCGCCTCGGCCTCCCAAAGTGCTGGGATTACAGGCATGAGCCACCACGCCCGGCCGGTCCGGAACCTTTTTGGCACCTGAGTCCAGTTTGTGGAAGACAGTTTTTCCACGGAATGGGGATGGGAGGGTGGGGGTAGTTTCCGGATGAAACTGTTACACCTCAGATCGTCAGGCGTTAGATTCCCATAAGGAGCGCAACCTAGATCCCTTGCTTGTGCAGATCACAATAAGGGTTTGTGCTCCTATGAGAATCTAATGCCACCACTGATCTGACAGGAGGCAGAGATGGCAAATCCATCTTCAAGGTTGGATTTTTGAAAGTTGGTCCTTTGTTTTAGGCTTTGTCAGGCAAATATATAGCCTCCAAAGTTAGCATGTGGTATTTCATATGGCAACCACAGATCAGAAATTTGAGGAGGAGCTACATCATGTAGGAATGACTTTGGTTGAAAGCAACAGAATATCCAACTAAAAGTGGCTCAACCCATATGATCCATAATATGCCACTTACTGGTCCATGGCCTGGGGGTTAGGTACCCCTGAGTTAGAAGGCAAAAAAAATGTGTATATATCAAATGTTCAAGGAGAGTAGATGGCATTAAAAACAGTTTTGCAGGCTGGGCACAGTGGCTCATGCCTGTAATCCCAGCACTTTGGGAGCCCGAGGCAGGCAGATCACTTGAGGTCAGGAGTTCAAGACTAGCCTGGCCGATATGGTGAAACTCCGTCTCTACTAAACAAACAAACAAAAATTAGCTGGGTGTGGTGGGGCACGCCTGTAATCCCAGCCACTCATGAGGCTGAGACAGGAGAATCGCTGGAACCTAGGAGGCAGAGGTTGCAGTGAGCCAAGATCGCGCCACAGCACTCCAGCCTGGGTGACAGAGCGAGATTCAGTCCCCCTCCCCCCCAAAAAAACAAACAAAAGAAACCAAAAAAAAACCCCTAAAAAACAGAGTTGCAGAATTAAGCACAAAAGATGTTTGTTTTCCAGTTTGAAGAATTGAGATACAAGAACATGCAATCCTTGAACTTCAGAGTTGAGGAGAAGCTTAAAGATGACCTGGTTGGATTTTATGTGTTATTTAAGCTTCCTTCACAAAGTCCTTTCGGGCTGTTCATGCCTAGATGCCTCTCATGGTGAGGCCTCCCTCTGCCCTCAGGAGCAGCCTGTTGTGTCTTTGCATGGCTTCCAGTGAAAGCTCTTCTTTATCATGAGCTCAACACTTTCCTCCTCAGATTTCACAGATTGTCATAGTTGAAGCAGGAGGACAGGTGTCAGCTGTGCGAGGATGTTATCTTACTAATACATTTATTTAACGGCTTTCTGAAGGAAATGATTAAAAGAATCTGGCTTGATATTTTTGTTTAAAAAAAAACCGCTAGCCCAAATTTAAACGAATAGGATAGTTTAAGAAATAGTTGTTCTTTAAGGATGGTTTTTTGAAAGTTGGTCCTTTATTTTAGCCTTTGCAAGGCAAATATATAACCTCCAAAATTAGTATGTGGTATTTTTATATACTCTGTCTTTTGAAACTCTGTCGCCCAGGCTGGAGTGCAGTGGCACAATCTCGGCTCACGGCAACCTCCATCTCCCGGGTTCAGGTGATGCTCTTGCCTCAGCTATTTTTGTATTTTTCGTAGAGATGGGGTTTCACCATGTTGGCCAGGCTGGTCTCGAGCTCCTGACCTCAAGTGATCCGCCTGTTTCAGCCTCCCAAAGTGCTGGGATTACAGCGTGAGCCACCACGCCCAGCCAATATGTGGTATTTAGTATGGCAACCACAGATCGGAAATTTGAGGAGGAGCTATATCATGTAGGAATGACTTTGGTTGAAATCAACAGAATATCCAATTCAAAGTGGCTCAACCCATGTGACCCATAATATGCCACTTAGCAAAACGTCTGGAATCCCTGGAGTAGATGTGTTAGGCACAAATTTGAGGTTTCCATGGCTTTCCTCTTCTGACCACAAGATGGAGCAGCTGCTCTAAACATTATATCCTCAGAGGGCCACATTTAAGAAGGCAGGAAGGAGGCTGGAGCAAAAGGGCTTTCTCAAGTCCCCCTAAGCAAGAATTTAAACTGGGCCCCCCAGGAGACTTCTTCTGTCAGAATTTAATTACATGTCCATCGCTAGACTGACAAAAGAAAAGTTAGAGAACCACGATTTACTTAGAACCTAAAGCTGGGCACATGGTTGCCTGGTCAGAATAGGGCTTTTATTTATGTACTTGATTTTTTTAGGTGAGAAAGAAGTGAAGTATAGCCATTGAGTAGGCTGCCAATAGTGCCTGCCAGAGACACTCAGGAGAGATTATATGCTAAATCCACCAGACCCTTTGTCTAAGGGCAGGACGTCACCTCTTCAGAAACTGTTTTTCTTCTTGTGGTAATTATTAATTCTCTGCAGTGATTTAGAAGAATTCTTGTACTAAATGTCTTGCCATTAAAAGTTTGATGAGTATAGAAACTGACAGTAGAACTATTTTTAAAAGTAATTCTACTTCTAACCCAAACTTCTTACTCTAGCTATTATTTTACCACGACGTGAGTTGTACGAATCACCTCCAATTTACATATTATGGAAGAGCCTTACATGGAAAAGAAGAAATCATTTTCAAATTAGACATTCCATCTAGAACTGTCAGTAGCTGATTCCCATCACTGTCTTTTATTTCTTCATGCTTTTAGATGAGAGTAATCATATCTGCAGTAATTCCCAAGATAAAGTTTTCTTTTTACAGCTAATTTTATGAAGTTTTTTTAATTTCAAAGAATAAAGCAATTATTCTTTCTTTTTGAAATTGCATATCGTCCAGAAACATTAATTATTCTTTCTTTTTGAAATTGTATATCAAGTTTAGAAATATTGACTTCTTTAATTTGAAACACTAATGTCAAGTGATAGGTATAAACATCTATATTCTATCCTCTTTCTTTCAGTGTACTTCTTGTTCTTGGCAGATCCTCATTCCTACTGGATATCTGTTGCACGCCAATTATCTTAGGCTACAGCTGTTTACTGACAGCTGTTCTCTCTACTGCCCACCAGGCAGCCACCCTTTTGTGGCAATCCATGCCTCTGCCTCCCAAGTGGGGCTGCTTTGGCCGGGGCTTCACCCTTAGCTCAGGCACAGAGCTTCTGATCTAAATCAATCCAAAGCTTGCATTTCCAGCAAAAGTATCATTTCTTCTCATTGGCTATGAATGAGGCTTCCATTCATCAGTCATTTTTCTGGGGACTTCTGAGGGAAAGATTCTTTCTCTGTCCTGCTAGATTTTTACCTGAGGGAATGTGAGGCCCAAAGTTGCTGCAGCCATCTTGACATCTTCAGTGGGAGCCAGTCTGAGAACAGAGGTGAGAGAGAGAGAGGGAGAGAGAGAGAGAAGCAGACCCTCGTGATACATTTCAACCTTTAAGCCAAGATAGCAGCAAGCCCTATTTCCAGACTTTTCAGTTACATAATCAAGTAAATTTGCTGCTTTGTTTAAGCATCTTTCTCTTTCCCTCTCACCTTCTGTCATGGGATGACTCAGCAAGAAGGCCCTTGCAAGATGCTGACACCTTGATATTGGACTTCCTAGCCTTCAGAACTGTGAAGAATAAATTTCTTTTCTTTATAAGTTGCCTAGTCGCTGGTATTCCCTTATAGCAGCACAAAATGGACTAAGACGGGCACGATAGATTGACCTGGCTGTGTGACTGCAATCTCTGGGCTTGGCTGAGGGCCATTTGTGCCTGGAATTGGAGGACACTGTGAAGACATTGTCCATTTCAGAAAGGCTTTGTTCCTAAGTCAGTGCCTCTGGCCTTCTCCACAGTGACCTTTGCCACACTCCACCCCAGGGGTCCACATTCTTGTCAAAGGGTGAGAAATCTTTTGTGACTGGCCATGATGATGCCATTGTAACACAGGTGGCCAATCAGTTTATACATCTGTTTATCCCCTTAAACAGGTCATTTATTTTCATGCACAATTGAAACTGTAAGTCAAACTCTGCTTCTTTATGGTGGTAAATAGTACGTTGATTATGCTAAAGAAAGATTATTATCGTAAGTGAACACCTGTGTCTTGTATCACAGTGGTACTACATCAGGGAAACCTGGTGGTCTGTTTTATTTATTTATTTACTTATTCAAGAGACAGGATCTCATTCTGTCACACAGGCTGGAGTGCAGTAGCACAATTGTAGCTCATTGCTCTAACTCCTATGCTCAAACAATCCTCCTGCCTCAATCTCTCAAGTAGCTGGGACTGCAGGTGTGTGCCATACAGTCAGCTAATTTTTTTGTTTTTGTTTTTGAGACAGAGTCTCTCGCTCTGTCGCCCAGGCTGGAGTGCAGTGGCACAATCTTGGCTCACTGCAACCTCCGCCTCCTGGGTTCAAGTGATTCTCCTGTCTCAGCCTCCCGAGTTGCTGGGATTACAGGCATACACCACCACGTCCAGCTAATTTTTTTGTATTTTTAGTAGAGATGAGTTTTCATCATGTTGGTTAGGCTGGTCTCGAACTCCTGACCTCAAATGATCGCCCGCCTCAGCCTCCCACAGTGTTGGGATTATAGGCATGAGCCACTGGGCCTGGCCTAATTTTTTTTTTTTTTTTTAGATTTTGTAGAGGCAGGGTCTTCCTATGTTGCCCAGGCTGGTCTTGAACTCTTGGCCTCAAGTAATCCTCCCACTTTGGTCTCCAAAGTACCAGGATTACAGATGGGAGCCACCATGCCTGGCCATGTTTTATTTTTAATAGGAAATTTGTTCGCATGGCTGAAAGCTCAAAGGGTACAAATAAATGTTTGTGAAAACTTTCCTTCCCGCTCCTGTTTCCCAGGTGCCCAATTCTCTTCCCCAGAGCTAATCCATTTCATGCTTTTGATGTAGCCTCCCAGAGTGACTTTATGCATATTTAAGCAAACAATGTATTATATTCCCCCTTTGCCTCAACACTGGTGTATGGACCTTCTGAGCCTTGCTCTTTTCACTGAAGATATCTTGGATGTACTTGCATGTAGTACATAAAGAGCTTCTTCATTCTTTTTGGTAGCGTCTGAGTATCCCACAATTTCATAATAGCATGATTTCATTAATGTCTGTTGATGGACATTTCAGTTGCTTTGTATCTTTGGCTCTTGAAAACAATGCTACAATAAACAATCTTGTACATATGTCATTCTGCACTTGGGTAAATATATTTTTGCAGTAAATGTCTAGACGTAAAGTTTTTGGGCCAAGGGTATATGTGTTTGTATATCCTCCCCAACACACACTTTTTTAGTTTAGTTTTTTTTTTATTTTTTATTTAAGATGGAGTCTTGCTTTGTTGCCGAGGCTGGAATGCAATGGCCCGATCTCGGCTCACTGCAACCATCTACCGGGCTCAAGCGATTCTCCTCCCTCAGACTCCCAAGTAGCTGGGATTACAGGCGTGCGCCATCATGCCCTGCTAATTTTGTATTTTTAGTAGAGACAGGGTTTCACCATGTTGGCCAGGCTGGTCTTGAACTCCTGACTTCAGGTGATCTACCTGCCTTGGCCTCCCAAAGTGCTGAAATTATGCTAGGCTTAGGTTTTATTATACTCGAAAAAATAATGCCTACCATGGGAAGAAAATCCAAATAGAATAAAAGTGTATGTATATAGGCCAGGCGCGGTGGCTCACGCCTGTAATCTCAGCACTTTGGGAGGCCGAGGTGGGCGGATCACCTGAGGTCGGGATTTCAAGACCAGCCTGACCAACATGGAGAAACCTTGTCTCTACTAAAAGTACAAAATTAGCCGAGGTGGTGGTGCATGCCTGTAATCCCAGCTACTTGGGAGGCTGAGGCAGGAGAATCGCTTGAACCTGGGAGGCGGAGATTGCAGTGAGCCAAGGTCGCGCCATTGCACTCCAGCCTGGGCAGCAAGAGCGAAACTGCCTCAAAAAAAAAAAAAAGTGTGTGTGTGTGTGTGTGTGTGTATATATATATATATAATATACATATACATATATATACACATATACATATATATACACACACACACACACACAGATATATATATATATATATACACACACATACAGTAAAAAGTAAGTCCTCTTACTCTTTGGTTTCCAGGCTCCCTCCCTGGAGGTAACCACTGTTTGTGTGTGTACTTCTAGATATATGCATATACAAACATATATATATGAATAAGTATATGTCATCATTTGCCTTTGCTTAAAAGGTATATACTACACATACTATTCTGCACCTTGAGTTTTTAATTAATATGTCTGGAGTTTATTGCATACCAGTAAGTATAGATCAACTTCATCCTCTCGTTATCTTTTTTTTTTTGAGACAGAGTCTCGTTCTGTTGCCAGGCTGGAGTGCAGTGGTGCTATCTCAGCTCACTACAACCTCCGCCTCCTGAGTTCAAGCAATTCTCCTGCTTCAGCCTCCCAAGTAGTTGGGACTACAGGCACGCACCACCATGCCTGGCTATTTTTTGTATCTTTAGTAGAGACGGGGTTTAACTCTGTTGGCCAGGCTGCTCTCGAACTCCTGACCTTGTGATCCTCCCGCCTCAGCCTCCCAAAGTGCTAGGATTACAGGTGGCAGCCACCTCGCCCAGCCATCCTCTCCTTATCTTTAAAGTCAATATAGAATTTATTTTGAAGAGACTAATATTAGTTTTTTCATTAAAAAAATATATAGTTTACACAAAATAAAATATTTTTTACTGTACAATTCTGTAAGCTTTGACAAACATGTATATTCAGCTTGTAATTTTTTTTTTTTAGAGACAGAGTCTCCCTCTGTCACCCAGGCTGGAGCACAGTGGCGCGATCTTGGCTCACTGCAACCTCCGCCTCCTGGATTCAAGTGATTCTCCTGCCTCAGCCTCCCGAGTAGCTGGGATTAGAGGCATGCGCCACCATGCCTGGCTAATTTTTGTATTTTTAGTAGAGACGAGGTTTCACCATGTTGACCAGGGTGGTCTGGAACCCCTGACCTCAAGTGATCTACCTGCTTTGGCCTCCCAAAGTGCTAGGATTACAGGCTGAGCCACCAAGCCCAGCCTGTATATATTCTATTGTAATTTTGATGGACATTGCAAATTGCTCCCTTGAGAATTTCGGTCAGTTCACACTCCCACCAGCAATGCATGAGTACCTGCTTTTCTGCAGTCTTGCCGATTTAGATGTGTCATAAAACTTTTTGATCTTACCAATCTGCAGGTAAAAGTGGAATTGCATCATTTACAATTTCATTTCTCTTAGGATAAAGCTGAGCATCTTTTCATTTGTATAAAATCTGTTTATGGCTGGGAGCGATGGCTCACGCCTGTAATCCCAGCACTTTGGGAGGCCGAGGCAGGCAGATCACCTGAGGTCAGGAGTTCAAGACTAACCTGGCCGACCTGGTGAAATCCTGTCTCTACTAAAAATACAAAAAATTAGCCGGGCACAGTGGCAGACGCCTGTAATCCCAGCTACTCGGGAGACTGAGGCAGGAGAATTGCTTGAACCCGGGAGGCAGAGGTTGCAGTGAGCCAAGATCATGCCATTGCACTCCAGCCTGGACAACAAGAGTGAAAATCCACATCAAAAAAAAAAAAAAAGGCTGAGCGTGGTGGCTCATGCCTATAATCCCAGCACTTTGGGGAGGCCAAGGCAGGTGGATCACAAGGTCAGGAGTGGAGCCTGGCCAACATGGTGAAACCCCATCTGTACTAAACACACACACACACACATACACTCTAGCCGGTCATGGTGGTGCAGGCCTGTAATCCCAGCTACTCGGGAGGCTGAGGCAGGAGGATTGCTTGAACCCGGAAAGCAGAGGTTGCAGTGAGCTGAGATCATGCCACTGCACTCCAGCCTGGATGACAGAGTGAGACTCCGTCTCGGAAAAACGAAAAAAAAAATCTGCTTATATTTCCTTTTCTGGAAACTCTCCATACTTTTTTTTTTGACCTATTTTTCTATTGTGGATTGGTCTTCATTTGTAAGGACTCCCAATAAATTGGGAAATTTGCCCTTGTCTGTGATATAAATTGCAAAAATTTGGGAAACTTGATGTTCATAGAAACATCCAAGAAGAATTGTATTCCCTCCACAACTCATGCATAAACCTTTCAACCATTGGGAGAACACTGCATATGCAAAGTTCCACTTCAAAACTGAGATTTGGCTTAGAAGGTTGTCATGCTTTGCAAAAAAAAAAGTGTACACTATTGTTCTGAAACAAAGGAATGAATCTGTGCATCAACAATGTAGTTTTTGGATAACGTTTGAGGATTACAAGTTAATGTTATTATTACAAGTTTATTATAGGTAATATAACCAATTGGGTCTCTCTGATTAAAATGTCCAAATATCCCCTGGTTCATTGCAGGCACATGGAAAGTTGAAAAGTCATCTCTATGTGCTTCCTTCCTGCCATAACTTTGCAAGATTATTACATCACATTAAAATAATAAGATCACAGTTTGGGTGATCTATCTTCAAAATGCACACGTGATATTCAACAGTGATATCTACATCTAAAAATGTAAAGGAGAAGAGTTGGGACTTAAGAAAATAAAACATTATGGCCAGGCATGGTGGCTCACACCTGTAATCCCAGCACTTTGGGAGGCTGAGGTGGTAGGATCACCTGAGGTCAGGAGTTCGAGACCAGCCTGACCAACATGGTGAAATCCTGTCTCTACTAAAAGTACAAAACTTAGCTGGGTGTGGTGGCAGACGCCTGTAATCCCAGCTACTTGGGAGGCTGAGACAGAAGAATTGCTTGAATCCAGGAGGTGGGGGTTGCAGTGAGCCGAGACTGCCACTGCACTCCAGCCTGGCGACAGAACGAGACTCCATTTCAAAAAAAAAAAAAAAGAAAAACATTATCTTTTCTGTGCATGACATGGAGAAGTAAAAAAATATGTTATTTGGGCCGGGGGTGGTGGCTCAAACCTGTAATCCCAGCACTTTGGGAGGCCGAGGTGGGTGGATCACCTGAGGTCGGGAATTCGAGACCAGCCTGACCAACATGCAGAAGCCCTGTCTCTACTAAAAATACAAAATTAGCCGGGCAAGGTGGCACATGCCTGTAATCCCAGCTACTCAGGAGGCTGAGGCAGGAGAATCGCTTGAACTCGGGAGGCAGAGGTTGCAGTGAGCTGAGATCATGCCATTTCAGTCCAACCTGGGCAATAAGAGTGAAACTCCATCTCAAAAATATATATATATATATTTATATATTATAATATATATTTATATATTATAATATATATTTATATATTATAATATATATTATATTATATATTTATATATTATAATATATATTATATTATATATTTATATATTATAATATATATTATATTATAATATATATTTATATTATAATATATTATATTATAATATATATTATATTATTATATATTATAATATAATATATATTATAATATATATTATATTATAATTTATATATTATATATATTATAATATATATTATATTATATATATATTTATATTATAATATATATTATTATATATTATATATTATAATTTATATTATATTACAATATATATTATAAATATATATATTATATTATAAATATATATTTTTATATTACAATATATATTATAAATATATATTTTATATTACAATATATATTATAAATATATATATTATATTACAATATATATTATAAATATATATTATATTACAATATATATTATATTATAATATATATTTATATATGATATATTATATTTAATATATTATATAACATAATATATAATATATAATATATTAATATAATATATAATATAACATAATATATATAATATAGAAAATTTTAGTTGGTTTACTTGGGTAAATAAAGTTACATACAGAATACCTAGGAGAGGTGCTGGGGATGGGGTGGAAATACAGAAGAGTGACTCAGTCCTCCTTATATATGGAATAATGGGTGTAAGGATGTAATTAAGTCATCCTTTATGAGCTTGAACCAGGTGAGTAGTGATCACTGGCATTGATTTTAATTAGCCTATTCTTGATATTAAACATTTCCTATACTCTCATTATATATGACTTTCTTCAAGCATGGATAATTGATAGAAGTCATACATATTTAGAGCCTTTTTATTCCTTGATTTCTACACACACCTTGATCAGTCTGTACATGTAATGTCTATTAATCATCCCAATAATTAAGCAATAATTAGAATGAAAAATCATGAAAAAATTCACAGACTAAATTCAGGTCTTTGAATTTACTCTGGCTTAACTGGTTTTTTGTGTGTAACTGGCTCATTGAACAGGCAGGACTTGTGTTTTGTGGCCATAGAAGCAACTTTATTTTTATCTCCTACTTTCCCTTTAAAGCTGTTCAGTGCAGGAAGCCCTTGCCTTCCCTTCTGGATGAAAACTCAAGCATTTTCATCACATCTCTGGTCACTCCTGGGTAATAAAAATCCTTACAATCCCTTTAGTTCACATTCACAGGCCGAGCATAGTGATTCACCTTCGCCCTTCCTTCAGCTGGGGCCTGTTGCAGGTGAGAGGCTGTGATCCAGGAAAGGTGGGAGGGGTCAACTGCTGCTCTTTTTTTCACTGTCACCCTCCCTTCCCCAGACTCCCTCCCAGCTAGATGCTGTCTGTTAGGAACTTTTACCAGGAGCTAGGACAGAAAGGACATGGTAGGAAGGAGAGGAGAAGTGGCAAGACAAGAAAGTACTTACCGAGCTGGTCCACTCTCTGGGCTAAAGGGACACACACAGGTACAGACTCCTGATTTATAACAAGATTCCAATGAAATTTAGTGGGAAAAGATGTTATTTTCTTTTTTTTTTTTTTTAATTTAAGAGATTGGGCTCGGCCGGGCGCAGTGGCCAGGTGCAGTGGCTCACGCCTGTAATCCCAGCACTTTGGGAGGCCAAAGCAGGCAGATCACTTGAGATCAGGAGTTCAAGACCAGCCTGGCCAACATGGTGAAACCCCCGTCTCTACTAAAAATACAAAAATTAGCTGGGTGTGGTGGCATGCACCTATACTGCCAGCTACTTGGGAGGCTGAGACATGAGAATCACTTTAAGCCAGGAGGCAGGGGTTGCAGTGAGCTGAGATCATGCCGCTGCACTCCATCCTGGGTGACAGAACAAGACTGTCTCACAAAAAAAAAAAAAAACAGATAAATTTAAGAAATGGGTTTCTACTTTGTTGCCCAAGCTGGCTCTAAAGTCCTGGGCTCACATCCTCCTACATCAGCCTCTGAAGTGGCTGGGGCACACACAATACCATGCCTGGCTTAGGTGTTATTTTCAATAATGGTGCTAGGTTAACTGGCTACCCATATAGAAAAGAAATGGACCTTGACTCCTGCATCCCTCCATACATCAACATTAATTTGAAATGGATCATAAAAGTAAATGTGAAAGTGGGAGACTATTTTCATGACTTTGAGGTAAGCAACGACTTCTTAAATAGGGAGCACAAATTACCAAATATAAAATAGAATATTGATGTTGGACCTGATTAAAATTAAAAACTTCTTTGCATCAAAAGACATCATTTGAGTGAAAGGCAAGACACAGATGGGAATAAAATATTTGTATTTACATATCTGATGAAAGACTCCTGTCCAGAATATATAATGAACTCCATATCAGTAAGCAAGACAAACCAATAAAAACTGGGCTAAGACTTGAACTGGTACCTCACAATAAATAAACACATGAAAAGGTTCGAAGTGTCAGGGAAATGTAAGTGAAAAAACCAATGAGGTGCTGTTCCCAGAATGGCTAAAACTAAAAGGAAAACCAAATGGAGGCAAAGATATGGAGCATGTGTTCCTGATTTAAATTGGTACAGCCACGTTGGAAAACTTAATGGTGCCAAAGTGAAATATACATATACTCTATGACCTAAAAATTCCACTCCTTTGTATATTCCTAATGAAAATGAATGCTTATATTCACCAAAAGACATGCACAAGGATGTTCATTGCAGCTTTATTCATAACACAAACGGAAACAACTCGAAAATTCATGCATTAATATATTGTGGCATAGTCATATAATGGAATACCACACAATATTGAAAAAGAATGAACTACTGCTATCCACAACTATGTAGATGACTGTCACAGGCATAAGGTAAAGTGAAAGAACCTGGACATAGAAGAACATCTACTATATGTTTTCATTTATAGGACATTCAACAATAGGCAAAACTAATTTATGGTGGATGATAGAGATCAAAACAGCAATTACTTTTGACTGGAAGGGGGCAGGAAGGAGTCTTCTTGGATGCGGAGAATGTTCCATATCTGTAGCAGAGTGGTAGTTACATGGGTATGGTTACTTGAAAAAAAAAATCCATCAGACTGTACATCTAAGACTTTATGTAATTCTACCTCAAAGAAAACATTAGTGCCAGCTCATTTTTCATCTTCAGTTGCTTTGTCATTTTTTTCCTTGAACTCTTGTATCTCTGCTTTGAGTGCTTGTTATATAGAGATTATTTTTACTTTAGTTCCTAGAGTTTATGGAGATTTATGGTAGTCTCACAGTTTTACTTTTCTCAATTTCAGTTACCAGGGTCCAAAAATAGGTGCAATGCAGAGAGAGAAATCATATTCACATAACTTTCATTATATTACTTTATTTAATTTGTCCTATTTTATTAGTAGTTATTGTCATTAATTTCTTACTGTGCCTAATTTTTCATGATGATAATTATTTTTTGAGATGGGGTCTTATTCTGTCACCTAAGCTGGAGTGCAGAGGCTCCATGATGGCTTACTGCAGCCTCAACCTCCTGGGCTTAAGTGATTCTCCCATCTCAGCCTCCCAAGCAGCTTGGACTACACGCATGCACCACAATGCTGACTAATATTACTTTTTGTAGAGGCAAAGTTTTGCTATGTTTCCCAGGCTACTCTGGAACTCCTGAGCTTGAGTGATCCTCCTGCCTTAACCTCCCAAAGTGCTGGGATTACAGGTGTGAGCCACTGAGCCCAGCCTTACTGTGCCTAATTTAGAAATTAAACTTTATCAAATAGACATGCACATATAGGGGGCCAGGCACGGTGGCTCACACCTGTAATCCCAGCACTTTGGGAGGCTGAGGCGAGTGAATCACTTGAGCCCAGGTGTTTAAGACCAGCCTGACCAACACGGTGAAACCCCCTCTCTACTAAAAGTACAAATATTAGCCGGGCATGGTGGTGCATGCCTGTAGTCCCAGCTACTTGGGAGGATGAGGCAGGAGAATGGCTTGAACCCAGGAAGTGGAGGTTACAGTGAGCAGAGTTCACGCCACTGCACTCCAGCCTGGGCAACAAAGTGAGACTCTGCCTCAGGAAAAAAAAAAAAAAAAGCACATATAGGAAAAAAACATAGTATATAGGGTTTGGTACTAAATGTGGTTTTGGGCATCCACTGGGGGTCTTGGAACGTATCCTCTGTGGATAAGGGCAGGGGACTACTGTATTTGGTCATGATTTTCACCAGTTTTGAGGCAAGATGTTTCTGTATTCTTTACCTGCCAGTTGTTTCCCTATTGATTTCCTCCTTTCTCCTTCTTGTATTTTCCTAAAGATTTGTGTGCTGTTTCTCTTTTAGTTACTTCTCACCTTTGAATGAGGGCACTTTTCCTGCAGGGTTGACACACACTATTTCCAATGGGCAACATCCAAATTGTCTTCTCTCCAGGGGGCGCCATTGACGTGGAATACAACATGAATAGCGTCTCCTAGAGCCCCTGCCTCCTAGACAGCCTCTTTGCTATGGGAGGCACCAGAGCAGAGTGGCAAACCCCTACCTGAGTCCCCATGATCCCAGCAGGGATTCATATGTGTGCTTGTGTGAGCTGGTTTACCCTTTGCTCTTCTACAGAGAGAGGCTAGCATCTGCAGGGCTGCTTATGACTGATAGCTGTCCCTCCACGCTGTGTCATCACGGTGCCAAGAGTCTTTCCTCACCCTGGTGCCCCTGCCCCTTTGTGGTCTCAAATGGGGTCCAAGGGAGCCTCAATAACTGGCCTGCACAAAAGCTTGTTCTAAGCCAGATATTTTGGTTTTGCATCCCAGAGTATCCACTTGTGTTGGACAGTTTGAGTCCTGCCAGCTGTGCCTGCAATATGCAATCTCTAGCTATTGGTTTGGATCTCCTTCTTACCTTAATTGGATTATCACCATAGAAGACAGCCTTCCTTCACATATATTAAAGTTCCAGGTAAAAGCAGCTTAGTCATTTCATCAAGATAAAGTTTCTTCTTGTTGCTTTCAGGTGATTTAAAATATTTTGTTCTCACACACAATGCTGCAACTGTACATAACTCAGCTTCTATATATGCAAGTGTATCTGCAGAACAAATGCCTATAATTAGAATACTGGTTAAAAAGGTAAGTGCCTTTATAATTTAAATAAATACTACCAACATACCCTTCCAGACATTTTACCAATTTATATTCCCATTGGTAACCATGCCCATTTCCCCAGACCCTTGCCTCAGATAACAGAGATATAAGTGCACTTAACAGTATAAAGGAAAACCCTAAGACTGATACTATAATTAATTACGTTGGGTCAGATTCTTGGTTTCAACAATAAAGTTTATACTAACTAGCTTAGGCAGAAAGGGATTTATTAAGTAGCTCATATAAGCATTGGAAGGGCTGGAAGAACAGGCTCTCAGCTGAGCTTCCAGTAACAACTCTCAGAACCATAGTGTGGAACCGGCCTGGTGAGATGGCTGCTGCCATGGCCATATCCAGGACGATATTCCCTCTAAGCGAGCTGCTCCTCCAACTGCAGAAACACGTCCCCCTGCTGCACAGAACACTCTTCACTCAGAGAGCTGCGTGGCTCCCTCCCTGGGCCAATTTCCAGTAGGTATTCCTGCCCGAGTCTCAGCTCAGGCCCCACAGTTGGCTAGTCTCTTCTGCCTGAAGTCGATTCAGTTGGGTTTTTCAGACATTGCTGAGTCCAGCTTTGTGGGAGGCTCTGTGCCATACAGCTGGCCTGACCATTGCCCATGGGAAGCCAGCTCAAGGGGGAAAGCCTGAAGGCTTTGAGCACTTATCCCAAAGGTGAAGATGTAGCTCATCAAGGCACCTGGTATAAACAGCCTGATCTTCATGATTTTACCCTCACCGGGTCTTCCGAACCTCCCTCCTGTTTAAATGCCCCAAAGTCACTCACCTGTGAGGCAGTGACATGTGCCAGGCCGTATGCCAAATGCCAGACAGACAAAGATGAAACAGGGAAAGAGGAAAAAAAATCTCACTACCTCTCACCAGAGCAGGTGAAATGAAGCACATTGCCAAAGGTCAGATATTGGTTTAGAGCCAGAGAAAAAATAAGATGAAAAAAGCCAGTAAAATTTCTCCTATCTGGTTGGGAGAGTTGAGTGTGTGTGGCAGGGAAACCCTGGATCATGGAGGGAAATGTGATTGGAATCTGTGATCAGAGAGCAGGGTGCTGGGAGGCCCTGGGGGCTGTAGGAAATGAGTTCTGGGATATTGAGTTGAGCTCTTCAATACGGTACCCACTACCTATGTGCAGCTATTGGGCACTTGAAATGTAGCTGGTGCCGTATGTTGAAATGACAATATTTTAAATATATTAGGTTAAATAAAACACATTAATAAAATGCATTATTAACATTGATTTTATTTATTCTTTTTATACCTTTTTAATGTGATATTAGGGAATTAAAAATTATATATATGGCTTGCATTCTATTTCTATTGGACAGTGCTGAGCTAGACAATCAAGAGAAAAATCAATGGAATGGAAGCCTTTGCATCTCTTCTTTTGCTCTCTCTGCCCCTTTCCTGCCTTCTCTCTCTCTCTCTCTCTCTCTCTCTTTTTTTGAGATGGAGTTTCAGTCTGTTCCCCAGGCTAGAGTGCAGTGGCACAACCTTGGCTCACTGCAACCTCTGCCTCCCGGATTCAAGCGATTATGCCTCAACGTCTTGGGTAGCTGGAATTACAGGTGTCTGCCACCACGCCCAGCTAATTTTTGCATTTTCAGTAGAGACAGGGTTTCACCATGTTGGCCAGCCTGGTCTTGAACTCCTGACCTCAAATGATCTGCCTGTCTTGGCCTCCCAAAGTGCTGGGATTACAGGCGTGAGTCACCGCACCTGGCCAAAGTTCACGGATTTAAATGTTAATCTCATTCAAAAAACACCTGCACATAAAACATCCAGAATAATGTTTGACAAAATATCTGAGCACCATGGCCCACCCAAGCCGGCACATAAAATTAACCACCATGTGGGGATGTAAGACAACAGGGAGTGGGGGAGCTAGGGCTAACTAGAGACTTCATGCCCCTCCCAGGACACAGAAAAACCACGCATTGAAGCTAATACAAACACAGAAGCAAAAAAAACACTAATGCAGACGAAATTTGGTCCCAAGTCCCTAGAGCCTTAATAATGAATGGCCTTGGGCTTAGAGACTCAGTGTTTAAATACGTCAGTGTCTTCAACCTTCACCTAACATTACTCATGCTACCTGCCTGCCCCATGGTAATTCCTGGCTTTAATGCTTTTCTACTTTTAAAACAACTAGGTGGTTTTTTTTCTCCAGGAACTAGGAGAATCATTTTCTGAGAAGGAAGAGTGGGCTCCACCTAATTGTGTATGGAGTTGACTGTCAAGTCCAGATTCCAACACAGAATCAAAAGATGCTGAGAATATCTTGTGTTGAGCTCTCCCTGACTTGTAACTTGCCTTTAGGGAGTTAATTTGATTCGAGGGCTAGTATCCATAATATTTGTAATCACCTGTTATTTAATTGATTCAAATATTGTTTTGTCATGTGGGACAGCCTCTTGATGCTAAGCAAGTCAAAAGCTGCCCCAGTTCATTGTTGATGTCATTCCTTTTCTTCTTTTTTTTTTTTTTTTTTTTTTGAGATGGAGTCTCGCTCTGTCACCCAGGCTGGAGTGCAGTGGCGTGATCTTGGCTCACTGTCACCTCTGCCTCCCGGGTTCAAGCAATTCTTCTGCCTCAGCCTCCCGAATAGCTAGGATTACAGGCGCCTGCCACCTTGTCTGGCTAATTTTATGTATTTTTAGTAGAGACAGGTTTCCACTCTGTTGGCCAGGCTGGTCTCCAACTCCTGACCTCATGATCCACCCAACTTGGCCCCCCAAAGTGCTGGGATTACAGGTGTAATCATACAGACTCCCCAGTGGGTTCATCCTTTTCCCAAATCTGCACACCACGTTAATGCACTCTGTGGGGAGATTATTTTTAGTCATCAAATTCCTTAACATGTTGGTGATGAATTTTCTGCTACAGAATTTTTTCTTTTTTTTTTTTTTTGCATTTAAAAAAATCAAATCACAGCATGGCTTTCATCTGGGAACCACATGTCTAGGAAAGTAATTATTTCAAACCCAAGGGCACAACCAACTGTAGCTAAAATGGATTCAGTTTTTGGTTCTGTCATACCTGCTCAGAAAGCACTGTGCTCTCAACAAACTCACTGTGCTACATACACATTGGGCAGTGTCCACCAGCCTCAAAAATGTCTTCCTAAATGACTGATATTGGGGACCTGAAGTTTGAGGGAGTTTGTAGTCTCTGGAAATGGAGAACAGGAACCAGGTAAAGCTGTCGATTTTGCGGGATTCTGAAGTGATGGGATGCAGATGCAAGAACACAGAACTACAGGAGAATTTTACAAAATCTGCTATCTGTATTGTTGTTGACTGTGCTATGAAAGGAAATTAGATGGTAAGTTCCTTCATGGAAAGGAAGTAACTTATCCTTAGCACATACTTGCTTAGAACAGGTGATTTCATGATGAAAGGAAATAAAACCTTGACCTCGCAAAGAAAAAAACCTAGTGTCTCTTGTGTCTGCATTTCAATCAATCATCATGGAATGAGGGCAGAGAAGGATAATTATACTCCTTAAAGAGTAATTCAACTAAACTTGGTGTCTGTGTTTATGAACATCATGTAGGTAAGTGTCAGCTTCCTCAGAAAGGCATTTTCCCAATGGAAAAAGCTGTAGACTGAAGGGGAAGACTTGGATCTTGATTCTGAGACTTGTACATGTTTGACCTTGAATATGCCACCAAATGTCCCCAAGACTCAGTGTATTCTGTAGAAATCAATTGTGAAAATATAATGGGCACACGGACTAGTGCATTCATTCAGGACAGCAATCCAACCTTCCCCAGAGAAGCTGAGTGACAGGAGCCTTTTTGGCCCTGCAGCCCCCAAGAGAAGCTCACCTCAGGCCCAAAAGTTCACCTTTATGAGGATGTTCATTGCATGTAATCCCAGCACTCTGGGAGGCTGAGGTGGGTGAACCACTTGAGGCCAGGAGTTCGAGACCAGCCTGGCTAACATGATGAAACCCCGTCTCTACTAAAAATACAAAAATTAGCTGGGCGTCGTGGTGCACACCTGTAGTCCCAGCTACTTGGGAGGCTGAGGCAGGAGAATCACTTGAACCTGGGAGGCAGAGGTTGTAGTGAGCCGAGATTGTACCCACTGCACTCCAGCCTAGGCAACAGAGCAAGACTCCGTCTCCAAAAAAAAAGAAAAAAAAAAAAAGTGCGCATCAAGCTAGTATCCATCTCTAGGGAAATGAATAACTAAAATATGAAGGGTCCTTATCACAAAACACTCTGTAGCAATTAGAAGTGATGAATTAGATATACGGAGCAACATGGATGAACTACAATTCATAGTACGGTGTGAATAAATGAGAGATAGAACAATATCATGTTGGCTAGTTAAAATCACATTCATGGAACAACCCACGTATCTATCAAAGATAAATAACTCTCTCTGAGGACATATTCCAAACATACTAGAGAGGATGCCTATGGAAGTGAAGATTGAGGAAATGGCAATATAAAATACGAGAGGGGCCCCTTGTCCAGAACCAATGACAAGAATGTGGCAAGCAAACACCTCTGGCCTAACCAGAAGCACAGCAAAAACTGTCCTTCCTCACCCCCTCAGAGTGGGAATTGCTTCACCCCTTCTGCTTGCTATCACGGAGTTTCTTGTTTTTAAACTGTTCTCTGGGAGTCCCTGGCCATGGCTTTTCCTACACTCTGTTAAGTGATACCATCGATAAAACTTAGAGCTCATGTACAGTTTGCAAATATCCTTTTGTTCTTTAGATTTTCCTAGTCAAATTAAGTATTAGATGTGGATATGAAGTAATGAGTTTTTAAGCTTCTTCCAAATGAATGTTATTTCTTTCAAAGCAGTCATAGTTTCCAGCAGTTCTGCCAAAGCTTGAAACATTTTTGGAACTGTGTGTGTGTGTGTCTGTGTGTGTGCATGCACATTCACATTGTGTGTGCATGTGTGTGTGTGTACAATGTGCTTAAAGACCAATCAAACTTTATATTATTTTCTTTTTTTTGAGACAGTCTCTGTCACCCAGGCTGGAGTGCAGTGGCGCCATCTCGGCTCACTGTAAGCTCCGCCTCCCAGGTTCACACCATTCTCCTGTGTCAGCCTCCCAAGTAGCTGGAACTACAGGCACCCACCACCACGCCTGGCTAATTTTTTGTATTTTTAGTAGAGACGGGGTTTCACCGTGTTAGCCAGGATGGTCTTGATCTCCTGACTTTGTGGTCCGCCCGCCTTGGCCTCCCAAAGTGCTGGGATTACAGGCGTGAGCCACCACGCCCAGCCTCAAACTTTGTATTATTTTCAAATCTAGTCTTACATTACCTGATCACTGCCCACCTAGGCAATCTCATCTCATCCTCTTCTCCCCATTTTGCCCACAGTGTTCCAGGCACTCCTGGCTTCTTTTAGTTTCTCCAGTGTGCACAATGCATTCTTGCTGGGGGTAGCTGTTCCATTTGTCTGAGATGCTCATCCTTCTGGTCTTCCTTCTCAAGGTGGGCTCCTTTCTGTTGCACAGGTCTTACTTAAATGTCACATCCTTAGAGAAGCTTTCTCTGACCACCCAAACCAAAGAACCATCTAAGGACTTGCTATCTCACCATCCTGCTTTTAATTTTTCCACTGTCACCACTATCAGATATTTGCTTGTTTAATGACTGTACCCCCAATTTAAATAAAAGTCACATATTCTCACGGGGCTCAGTGGCTCACGCCTGTAATCCCAGCACTTTGGGAGGCCGAGGCATGCGGATGACTTGAGACGAGGAGTTGGAGACCAGCTTGCCAACTTGGTGAGACCCTGTCTCCACTAAAAGAACTACAAAATTATCTGGGCATGGTGGCACGCACCTGTAATCCCAGCTACTCAGGAGGCTGAGGCAGGAGAATCACTTGAGGTTGCAGTGAGCCGAGATCATGCCATTGCACTCCAACCTAGGCAACAGAATGAAACTCCGCCTCTTAAAAAAAAAAACACATATTCTCATGGCCAAGAAAGGTGCCTGCTACATGATAGGTGCTATGAGAATGTTTGTTGAGCACACTGGAGTATGAGGAACTCAGATCTCTGCCCCTGAGGTCCAAAAAATAAGCAACTTAAGTATAAGAGGTTATTGTAGATTTTCTCCTTTGTTAATTGGCTTATTCTTTTATTACATCACTTCATTGCTAACTTTGCGTCACATATCCCTATTTATTTATTTATTTATTTATTTATTTATTTATTTATTTATTTTTTGAGACAGAGTCTCACTCTGTCACCCAGGCTGGAGTACAGTGGCACGATCTTGGCCCACTGCAGCCTCCTCCTCCCGGGTTCAAGCGATTCTCCTGCCTCAGCCTCCCAAGTACAAGTGCGTGCTGCCATGCCCAGCTAATTTTTTGTATTTTTAGTAGAGACTGGCTTTCACCGTGTTAGCCAGGATGGTCTCAAATCTCCTGACCTCATGATCTGCCTGCCTCGGCCTCCCAAAGTGCTGGGATTACAGGTGTGAGCCACGGCGCCCGGCATACATATCCCTATTTATAAAGTATCTGTTTTTCCTACTAAGCTATGGGCCTCTGGAAAGAAAGAACTATGTTTTAAATTTTTCATATTCCCTAGAGGATTTAGCATAAAACTTTGATATTCTGAATATTAGATATATATTGTTATCAGATTGAACGGAATCTGATTGGTATGAATAAGTGTGTTTGCGTAAGTGTGTGTGTGTGTGCGCGCATTACAGGTATAGTGAGAGACAGACAAGCAGAGAAAACACATTTGTATGGGCCTGTGTGGGTACATTTTGTGCCAGTGATTTTTAGACTGATTTTGAGGGTCTGCTTACATTTAGAAAGTACAAATTTGGACAGAGATCAAGTTTCTGGGCCATGTTGTCATAACAACCTAAGTTCTGCAGGACCTAAAATAACTCAGACAAAACGTGATAAGGTCATGGACTTAAGATGGTCTATACCCAATGTACATGATACTCTGCTCTTTTTTACGTGAAGAACAGTGACATAAAGGAGTTAAAGGGGGATAAGGCCACAAAAACCATGGTTACCCCAATCTTTAACTGGAGTAGGCTGAACTTCTTGAGGACTGACCCCGTGTCCTGCTGATTTTTCTCTGCAGTGACTAACACAGTGCATCATAATGCATAGGGAACACTTAACGAAAGCTTGCTAAGTGATGGACTAAATGAAAAACTGAAGAAATGAAAAGTAATGAGATTGATTCTTTTATATGACTCATGAATTGGCTCAGAAGCCATTGGCTCCGAAGAAACTCAGTTGAAGAGTTCCAAAAACGCAGCATCGTTGACCTAAGTGTGTGGTCTCTATAGAACACATTTTCAGCCGTAGAATGTGGCATTGCTATCCATCAAGTCGCCATCTTTCAGACTCTCAGGCTAGAAACTTTAGAAGCTGTCATGAGTCATCCACCGTTCTTCCCTTCCACATCTAAGCAGTCATTAAGTCCTGCCAGGTTTACCTCAGGAATAGCCTCAGCCCACAGTGCCTCCTTGTCTAATATCTAGACAATAGATGCTAGTCTCTCCCGTTTGCAATCAATCCTTCCCCAACTCCCCAAAGTTATTCCCCTGTAACCAGTATATTAAACAAGATGGATTTGGGATGGCTCAAACAGAAAGCACTTGTCCTATCTTATAACTATGCTGTGGTTTGAATGTGTCCCCCGAAATTCATATGTTGGAAATTTAATCCCCAATGCAATGGTGTTGAGAGGTGGGATCTTTAAGCCGTGATTAGGTCATGAGGGCTCTGTTTTCACTGATGGTTTAAGGTCATTACTGAGGGAGTGGGTTTGTTACTGCCAGAGTTGGTTCCTGATAAAGGGATGATTTCAGCCCTCTCCCCTCCCCTCATTGCCTCCTTCTCCCCTCTCCTCTCTCTCTCCTTCCCTCTCTTCCTCTCTTTCATGTGCATGCATGGGTCCATGCTGTCTTGCCCTTCCACCTTTTGCCATGGGATGATGCGGCAAGAAGGTCCCTGGTAGGCTGGATGTGTTGGTTCACACCTGTAATCCCAGCACTTTGGGAGGATGAGGTGGGAGGATCTCTTAGCCCAGGAGTTTGAGAGCAGCTTGGGCAACAATAGTGAGACCTCATCTCTACAAAAAATAAAAAAATTAGCTGAGTGTGGTGGCATGTGCTTGTAGTCCGAGCTACTGTGGAGGCTGAGGTGGAAGAATTGCTTGAGCCCCGGAGGTCCAGGCCACAGTGAGCCATTATTGCACCACTGCACTCCAGCCTGGGCAACAGAGCAAGACCCAGTCTCAAAAAAAAAAAAAAAAAAAAGCAAGAGACTGGGTGTGATGGCTCATGCCTGTAATCCCAGCACTTTGGGAGGCTGAGTTGGGTGGATCACAAGGTCAGGAGTTCAAGATCAGCCTGACCAATATGGTGAAACCCCATCTCTACTAAAAAATACAAAAATTAGCCGGGTGTGGTAGCAGGGGCCTGTAAGTCCAGCTACTCGACTGAGCCTGGAGAATTGCAGATTGCGCCACTGCACTCCAGCCTGGGTGGCAGAGTGAGACTCTGTCTCAAAAAAAGAAAGAAAGAAGAAGGTTATCTGATCAATGTGGGCCCCTTGGACTTAGTAGCCTCCAGAACTGTAAGAAATAAATCTCTGCTCTTTAGTAATTATTGTTTCAGATGCTCTGTTAGAGTAGCACAAAATGGATTGAGAAAGAATGTCCCTACTCTCTCAAATCTTTCTTCCCTACCCATCCATGGTTGTCTCTTTTTTCTTTTGAGACAGGGTCTCGCTCTGTCATGCAGGCTGGAGTGCAGTGGTGCAATCATGACTCACTGTAGCTTTGACCTCCTAGGCTCTGCTGAGCCTCTCACCTCAACCTCCCAAGTAGCTGGGACCACAGGCATGCACCACCACACCCAGCTAATTTTTGTATTTTTTTGTAAAGACAGGGTTTCCTCATTTTACTCAGGCTGGTCTCCAACTCCACGGCCCAAGTGATCTGCCCACCTCGGCCTCCCAAAGTGCTGGGATTACAGGCGTGAGACATGGCACCCAGCCCCTACCCATGGTTTTCCGTTTATCATCAGGTATTGAAAAGTTCAGTCCAATCAAATATCAAAATTTTAATTTCTTATCCAAATTAAAGTTCTCCCTGTCACTAGTGTGAGCAAACTTAGGCTTGCAAGCATATAGGGAAGAAGGGGGTTCCAGTCATTGTCTTCTCTTTGTTTCTCCTCCTCTTGCATTAGCTGGGCCCAGGAGAGAGGGGATTAAATAAACAGAGGCCTTCAGTGGCTCTTGAGTTGTAATCACAGCACCCTTGGTAAGTAGCAGATCTAACGGGTATTTCTCTAGTGAGGTGCTTTTGAGAATTTGTTTAGAGACCCTTCCTCCTTTGGCCCTCCTACTAAGCATTCCCTTGACTTGGACAGTGCCCATTTTAGCTAGGCTCTTCCATTCTCCCCTTTATGACTTGAATTCCAGTTGACCATCCCGCATAGTGTTTCTTATGTTGGAATCATCCAGAAGGTCCTCTTAGATAGGGTCTGTAAGATGACTCAAGTCCAGCTTTCTTCCTCATGTCCCCCTGGCACAAACTTCCCCACTGTTTCTGCAAGTGTGGCTTGTTCCTTCTGGGTCCCCTGGCTTTGCTCTACTGCCACCCACCAGCCTTCCACTCAAGAACTTTTTCCACTGATATCAGAACGCAGCCTCTCTGTCCCTTCTCTTAGGAAGCCTGGAGATGGGTGAAGGTCTAACCATGGCAGAACTGGCACAAGGCCACTCTCTTTGCAAGTCCTGCCTGGACAGTCTTGTACCTCACTTAGGATGTGGAGGAGGGACTGAAACCTATTGTTCTCAGTTTTGAAGCCTCAGCCAAAACTCTGAGAAAGGAAAAGCCCTATTTTAACATGCTGTTACATTCCTTTAAAAACATCACATATTGTTTTGTTTTGTTTTAATTAACTGTTCCAAGTTTTTTCTTTTCTTTTCTTTTTCTTTCTTTCTTTCTTTTTTTTTTTTTTTTGAGATGGAGTTTCGCTCTTGTTGCCCAGGCTGCAATGCAATGGCGCAATATTAGCTCACTACAACCTCCACCTTCCGGGTTCAAGTAATTCTCCTGCCTCAGCCTCCTGAGTAGGTGGGATTACAGGCACGCGCCAACAGGACGTGCGTCTAGCTAATTGTTGTATTTTTAGTAGAGACAGGGTTTCGCCACGTTGGCCAGGCTGGTCTCGAACTCCTGACCTCAGGTGATCCACCCACCTTGGCTTCCCAAAGTGCTAGGATTATAGGCGTGAGCCACTGTGCCTGGCCCTAACTGTTCCAAGTTTACAATGTTTGATTTTTGAAGTCCAGACTCAGAACAGACATCTAAGTGGATCACTGGACCCCCAGCATTTTGCAAATGAGGAAGTGAAACCCAAGGAAGTTCCCTGATTTATGGAAGATCAAACAGCTGGTAATGACTGAAACAGAACTTGATCCTAGATCTTTGGCTTCCAGATCTTACGTTCTTCCTACCACATTGTCCTGCCTGAAATGCCTCTCCTTAAAGGTACCAGAGACATTTGCTCCTGATAAAGCTACTTGTATGTAAGGGTCAACTGAAAATAATATAAACTTTTAATGATTTTCAAAAAGCCTAGAGCTGGGTGCACTGGTGTACGCCTGTAGTCCCAACTACTCAGGAAGCTGAGCACAGCCCAGGAGTTTGAATCCAGCCTGGGCAACATAGCACAACCCCATCTCTGTTTTTGTTTTTTTGTTTTGTTTTGTTTTGTTTTGTTTTGTTTTTTAATTAAAAAAAGCCTATGAACTAGATGCTGTGATTATGGTGATTATGGATGATTTTAATTTTTGGTTTATCTACGTTTTCTAAGCTTTCTATGAAGATTATATATTTCTCTTATTGTAAGGAAAAACATAAAATTACTCTTTTTCTTGTAGGTCTCTATTTTAGAAAGTAATTCCATATAAATGAAAACAAAACTGCATCTATCCAGCTTTTGGAAAGTCTGTTTGAGTAGAATAATAAGACCTGACGTAGGGTCCTGGCTCTTGTTAACTGTGTAACCTTGAGTTAGTCCCTTGACCTTTGGGATTCATTTTATTAAATGTAATACGGGGAGCCGGGATGGTATAAAATCTGAGCTGTTTTCTAATTCTGAAAATAAAAATTTTTTCTTAGAAGGCTTGTAAGGAGCAATTATGAAAACTTACATGAAAAGTCTCAAAATATACAGCTTCGTGTACATTTTATGGCAATAAAGGACCGTGACTTCTCATCATTCTCTACCATGAGCCTTCCAGTCAAGTGAGATCAGCTGTGTCATTTTACCCAAGTAAAGCACTTCTGACTTTGAAGACCCTGGAAGTCTTCACTGATGCTCAAGTCCTACCTCCTCGGTGAAGTCTCCCTGACTACTCCAGCCCTAATCGGCCCACCTCCCAGTCCCTACAGACTTTGAGCCTACACTACACAGTTTAGCTAATCATTTGATGCTCTTCTGTGTTGTACACTGTGATTTCCTGTGTATTCAAGTTTTATTTAAAAGACAGAGTCTTGCTCTGTCACCCAGGCTGGAGTGCAGTGGCATGATCCTAGCTTCCTGTAGCCTCAAACTCCTGGGCTCAAGCAATCCTCCTGCCTCAGCCTCCCGAGTAGCTGGGACTACAGATGCATGCCACCGTGACAGGATCTTGCTGTGTTGCCCAGACTGGTCTCAAACTCCTGAGCTCAAGCAGTCCTCCTAAAGCACTGGGATTACAGGCATGAGCCACTATGCCCAGCCCGTATTTGTTTTTTTTTCTCCAAGCCATTGCCTGCAGACAGCAGCCATGCTCGCTGTCTCTGTTTTTCCCCTATCCTTGCTCAACCTAGGCTGAGCCCTCCCAGGGCCCTCTGTGTATGTTTGTTAGTGAGGAAGTGTCTGTTAGAAGAAAGGGTCTGAAAGGTTCAATTAGAGACTCAAGATCTGTGGGGTTCCCAGCTGTCCCTGGAGCAAGGTACCCTTGACAGCCAGTCTATGGTCTATGAGAGCGTGAAGTTGATTCCTTTTCCTCCAGCTTCCTTTGGGTCTTTCCCCAACCTGGCCTTGGGCAAGGCTGACTCTGGGTTGCTTTTCTGTTGCTGTTACTCCCTGGAATTGGACCCATAGTTTGAGCCTCCTCTGGAAAAGGGATCACAAGTCTCTCCTTACACTGCTGGCTCCAGGTCACCTCCTGTAGGCCAGGCCTGGGGGGTGGAGTTGGCCAGAGCACTAAACTATCTGGGGTATGCTCTGGGCCTCTTGGCTGAGAAGGCCAAAACACTCACCATCAGCTCTGCTATTTTCTCTCTCCCCAGGACCTGGGGAGAAAGGAGGAAGAGCCACTTCTCTTATCACTGTCTTTGGCTGGTCTCATCCATTCCTCTTCCATCCTTCATGCCTCCTCCTCTCTCTGTGTCATGGTCCCCATTTTTTTCTCCCTGATCACTGTCCCTCTGACAGTGTTTCTGACTTCCAGAGTTCATTTTGAGGCCTCTCTTCCTCATCTTCTCTCCTTTCCCACCTAGACCGAGCTCTTGTCAGCCCACCTTTCTGTTTCTGGCTGTTTCCACTGTTGTTCCCTGTCCGCAGAGCAAACGGGGCAGGGAGGCGATGCCACCCTTGTGGGCCCGGCAGGGAGCTGGGTGATTTTTAAGCGTTTTTCTCATTTTAAGGGCTAGGTGATAGAATGGTTGCCTGAGGCCCCACCTCAGAAGCTGGCCTAGGGTCCCGACAGGAGTTGTCTCACACTCCGTCCCACGGAACTGGGGGTGAGGTGGTGGCAGTGCTGGCATCAGACCATAACATAAAGGGAGTAGCTGAAGCCCTCCGAAGTAGGCCACGCCTGCGCCATTGCACAGTTCGGAGCTCTCCCATCAGCCCTTCCGAGTGCACTGCCTCAAGTCGCACATCCAAAGTGAAATGTGGGTGTTTTAATCACTGAAGAGAATCCTTAATGCTGCTCCTTCAGCACATAGCTGTCTCTCCTGTGCCAGGAACCGCAGGGAGCCTATTGCTTTCCATCCTGAACTGGATCCAGAAGCGTTAGGTGAGGCTCAATACAATTTTCAGTTGTTATCATGGGAGGCCCTTAGAGACGCTTCTCAGTTCTAGCAATTAGCCACACAGGGGTCAACCAAGTGTTCTCAGCTCTAATTAACAGCTGTGTTGAATCTGGGACACATAGAATTCCTTTGGGGACGCACTCTTCAAACAGAAACAAAGCCAGAATAGCAAGCTCTTTCCTCCTTATCAGAGGCTATGAAGTATGAAAATGACTGCTGAGGGGATTCTTAATGAAAATACCGGGAAGCTGAGTGGCCTCCGGGCTGCATGTATGAATTTAAAGGCAAAAAGACAATCTCAGCTTGACTATGAAGTTATCTGCTGGGGCTCAGGAGGCTCTGGGGAGCGCTGGGGGAATTAGGTGCCTCTTAGCTCCACTCCCAGAGCCCGGTACACCCAGCAGGCTACATGATAATCATCACCACACAAATCAAAGGCTTGATCTCTGGCTTCAAAAGGAAAAGGAACAGGAACAGGATACTCTCTGTTGGGACTCCTGCTCTGAGCGGGAACTATGCTGATGCCTGTTCAAGTTGTTCCCTGGGTATTTTGGCTTCTTGCCCTGCCTGACAGCTGCAGGAGTTCTGTAAGAAATCTGAGGGAGAATTTCCTTTGCAACCATGACTGAGAACCCAGGATCAAGAGCTTTGCAGACAGAAAAGACATTACCCTTCGAATATCCCAAGCCATCTATTAGGGTCAGCAAGCAGCCGGCAAAAAGCGGGGCAGCTGGTGGTCCAGCCCTGGGTGGAGAAAGTGGATTCCATCGGGAAACAGCCAGTTGAAGTTTTCTTTACTAACTGAGAGCAAATGCACCGAGGCATTTAAAAATAAGCATATGTTCATACTGGAATATTTCAAATGAACAGAAACAACACCTAAGGCCCAGATCGATAAATATTAACTTTGTGACACATTTACTTCACAACTTTTTCTAAACAATTTGGTATACATTAAAACCTACCCCTTCTTCCCCTGGCTCCACTCCCCACTCCCATCCTGAAGTTAGTAGGTATTTTTCTATGTAAACCACAACCAGGGGTTTATATTCTTCTTCTTCTTTTTTTTTTTTTTTTTTTTTTTTTGAGACAGAGTCTCGCTCTGTTGCCAGGCTGGAGTGCAGTGGTGTAATGTTGGCTCACTGCAACCTCCACCTCCCGGTTTCAAGTGATTCTCCTGCCTGAGCCTCCCAAGTAGTTGGGACCACAGGTGCACGCCACCATGGCCAGCTAATTTTTGTATTTTCAGTAGAGACGAGGTTTTACTATGTTGGCCAGGATGGTCTCGATCTCCTGACCTTGTGATCTACCCACCTTGGCCTCCCAAAGTGCTAGGATTACAGGCGTGAGCCACCGCGCCCGGCCTATGTTCTTACTACATACCGGTGTATCTATAAACAAAGATATCCTTCTCTTTGTTTTTGAAATGTAAGTGGTATCATTTTGTACTTCTCTTTTTGCAAAGTGTTTTTATTTCCCTCACCATGTTTCAGAATCAGCCACATTAATATATGTAAATCTTTGAAAATTTATTTTTTTTTTGGGACAGAGTCACGCTCTGTTACCCAGGCTGGAATGCAGTGGTGCGATCTCAGCTCACTGCAACCTCCACCTCCTGGGTTCGAGCAATTCTTCTGCCTCAGCCTCCCAAGTAGCTCGGACTACAGGCTCATGCCACCATGCCTGGCTAATTTTTGAATTTTTAGTAGAGACAAGGTTTTGCCATGATGGCCAGGCTGGTCTCGAACTCCTCACCTCAGGTGATCCTCCCACCTTGGCCACCCAATATGCTGGTATTACAGGGGTGAGCCACCACGCCCAGCCAATACATGTAAATCGAACACATTCATTTTTTTAACTTTAAAAATATATTTTATTATGTGACTATATCAAAAAGTATTCATCCATACTCTTATTGAAAGACATTAAGTAATTTAATTTGGGGGGTAATCACAAACATCGTTGCAATGAATAGTCTTATATGTGTCTCTTGGGGGGTGGGGGAGTTTTGGGGGTTTTTTTGAGACGGAGTCTTGCTCTGTCACTCAGGCTGGAGTGCAGTGGCACAATCTCGACTCACTGCGACCTCTGCCTCCCAGGTTCAAGCGATTCTCCTGCCTCAGCCTCCCGAGTATCTGGGATTACAGGCATGCACCACCAAGCCCAGCTAGGTTTTGTATATTTAGTAGATACGGGGTTTCACCATGTTGCTCAGGCTGGTCTCGAACTTCTGACCTCGTGATCTGCCCACCTCGGCCTCCCAAAGTGCTGGGATTACAGGCATGAGCCACCGAGCCCAGCTGGAGATATTTTTCTTGGGGCAATTGTTCTCAAAGTTTTGCTTTTGGGATCGTTTTATACTGTTAAAATTATTAAGGTCCCCAAGTAGCTTTTTTTGACGTGGATTATATCCATTGATATTTATAGTGTTCAAAATTAAAATTGAGAAATGTGAAAATATGTATTTATTAATTCATTTAAAAATCATAAACCCATCATATTTTAACACAAATAACATGCTTTTTAATGAAAAAAACTATATTTTACCAAACCAAGAAAATTAATGAGAAGAGGGGCATTGTTTTATATTTTTGTAAATCTCTTTCATGTCTGGCTTAATAGAAGTCAGCTGCAAGTCTCATATCTGCCTCTGCTTTCAATGTGTTGCAACATGTTGTCTGGTTAAAGTATATAAAGAAATGCAAGCCTCACACAGATAGGCAGTTGTGAAAGAGAATAGTATTTTAATAGCCTCAGTAATTTGATTTATCAAAAAAACTAAATCAAAAGTTAGCAAATAATAGTTTCTTAAAGATTAGCTGCAAAGTGGAATCTGAAATCATATCAATGTATTTCTCATGCTCTATCATGTTAAAACCTATTGATCTTTCATGGTCATTTCGAAAATATTGGTTTGCTGAATTATACATGTCTTACAAATGTTGACAGATTTCATTCTACAGTATCAAAAACCCACATTTATTTATAGCACCACTGATTTAACCATAAAGGTTTTTAAAAATTGGGAAACCATCAAGTTCATGGTGGTGGACATAAGTTTTCCAAAAATCTAATTTTTGCTTGAAAGCTCAAAATTTATCGTTAGCAACAGATGCAGTCGGTCGCTTTCCTTGAAGTGACAGGCTCATTTTGTTCTTTTTTTTTTTTTTGAGAAAAAATGCCTGCCAAGTTCTCAAGTCTGGATAACTATAGTTTGTCAGTCTTTCTTTCAAGTAAAAATAGTGTTCTGTGAAAAAGTGGCTAGTTCAGCTCATAGCCCAAAACAATACACAAGTGGTTTTCCTTGCAAGAAGTACCATCATTCCTTGGTGTGGAAAAGTGCTTTCTGTGTCTTTCCCATTTAATTACACAGAATATTAATATTAAAAAGACATGGGCCAGGCATAGTGGCTCACACCTGTAATCCCAGCATTTTGGGAGGCCAAGGCAGGCAGATCACTTTAGGTCAGGAGTTTGAGACCAGCCTGGTCAACATGGTGAAACCCCGTTTCTACTAAAAATGCAAAAATTAGCTGGGCGTGGTCGCTTGCGCCTGTAGTCCCAGCTACTCAGGAGACTGAGGCAGGAGAATCGCTTGAACCCAGGAGGCAGAAGTTGCAGTGAGCTGAGATTGTGCCACTGCACTCCAGCGTGGGCAACAGAGGGAGACTCTGTCTCAAAAAAAAAAAAAAAAGACATTTACTCAAGAGGCCAGGCGTGGTGGCTCACGTCTGTAATCCCAACACTTTGGGAGGCTGAGCTGGGAAGATCACTTGAGGCCAGGAGTTTGAGACCAGCCTGGTCAACATAGCAAGACCCCATCTCTATTCAATTTATTTATAATAAATTATAAATAATAAATACATTATAATTTATTATTATTAAACAATAATAAATAAAAGAAATTTAAAAATAATAAAAACATCTACTCAAGAGTTGAGATGTCATAAGTTTTGCCAGTGGTTTTTACTGCTTCATCTGAGTTGTTGGAGGCTCAGTGTGGGCACATTTGAGAGTTAAGGGCTCCACAGGGGTTCAGTCTTGCTGGCCCCCACACTTTTGTGGGTTTTACTTCCAGGAGCCCTCCACAGTCTCATGGTCAACACTGGAGATGAATCCCCGGTCCTTCTGGCAGGGAGAGGGGAAAAGTAACCATTTCGAAATATTCTCAGAACATTCTATTCTCCTTAACAAGGCCAGCCCTCAAGAGAAATTGTTTTACCAGGGCCTAACTGACTGGGGTTTTACCAGAGATTGACTAACCTGAGGGAAGGGAAATACTCAATTCTGGCTCCCTCCAGCCTTTCTGTGTCACCTAAGGGGGGAATAAAAAGAAAACAAAGCTGAGAAGAGCTTGTGAAGGTCAGGACTCAGGCACAGACTCACTAAAAGCCTGAGACCTAATCATAGGTCTATAGAACCCATCCCTTCTTCCAACACCTTACCAACACAGCAATAGGGCTCCTGTATGGTAACGGGGGAATACAGCTCAAGGAATGGCTTGCCTTAGACACATTTAAGAAGTCTCTAGGGAAACGTAAAGCCAATAGGGGAGAGAGAAACAAAGACACCAGAGGAAATGTTAGCCTCTGACACCTACAGCTGCAGCAAACAGAAAATAAAGCCTGACTCCCAAGCAGATAAACATAAAACCTCACATGAAAGGCCTGTCCACCTCAGTTCCTTTTAATCAATATCATGTCTGGTTTACGACAAAAAATTACAAGGCCTGCTAAGATGCAAAAACACAGTTTGAAGGGACAGAAGAAGCATCAAAACCAGAATTCAGATATGGCAGAGATGTTAGACTTATCAGACGGGGAATTTTGAAATAATTATGATTAATGTGCTATGATAGTTTTATTTCTGTGGTTCTAATTCTGACCCATTTTGTTTGATTCTTGTGCTGGATCTCCAGTACAAAGTTAAATGGAAGTCGGGATAGCAGTCATCTTTGTCTTTTTTTTCCCTGAATTTAAAAGTGTTTCCAAAATTTCACTTTTTTCTTCTTTATTTTATTTTATTTTAGATTGGGTCACAGTCTGTCATGCAGGCTGCAGTGCAATGGAGCAGTCACGGCTCACCACAGCCTTGACTACCTGGGCTCAAGCAATTCTCCGCCAATTTTTTTTTTTTTTTGAGACAGAGTCTCACTCTGTCACCCAGGCTGGAGTGCAGTGGCATGATCTTGGCTCACTGCAACCTCCGCACCCTGGATTCAAGGAGTTCTCCTGCCTCAGCCTCCCGAGTACCTGGGATTATAGGCGTGCATCACCACACCCAGCTAATTTTTTGTATTTTAAGTAGAGACGGGGTTTCACTATGTTGTCCAGGCTGGTCCCAAACTCCCGACCTTAGGTGATTCGCCCATTTCAGCCTCCCAAAGTGCTGGGATTACAGGCATGAGTCACCGCGCCTGGCCTCTCCGCCACATTTTAAAAATTATTTTTTAGAGATGAGGTCTTATTATGTTGCCCAGGCTGGTCTCAAACTCCTGGACTCAAGCCATCCTCCTGCCTCGGCCTTCCAAAGTGCTGGGATTACAGGCATGAGCCACTGTGCCCGGCCCATCATTTCACTGTTGAATACAACGTTTGCCGAAGGTTTTGGTAGATACCTCTTTTCAGGTTAGGAAAGTCTTCTATTTCGTTAGCTAATTCTAGTTAGAGTTTTGTGTTTTTTTTAAGTTACAAATAGATGTAGAATTTTATTGACTGATTTTCCTGTATCCTCTGAGATAATGACATGGTTTTCCTTAATTTATTTATGAGTTGAACTGAAATAACAGATTTTTTTCTTATGTATTTCATTATTGCGTTTGTGTGATAAACCCAAATTGCTCATGATTGAAGAAAATAACCACATTCCTGGATATGAATTGCTAATATTTTGTTTAGGGTTTTTAAAATTTATATTCATAATCAAAATTGACTTAAATTTTCCTTTCTTGTACAGTCATTGGCTTTGATATCAAGGATATACTAGCCTCATAAAATGAACTTTCCATCTTGGAGCTCGTTTTTCTGGAAATAAACTTTCCTATAAAATCATATGAACTTTATGTTTTCTTTGTGAGGAATTTAACAATTACTCCATTTCTTTTATGATTATAGGTATGTAGATATAGAAATAGTTTCTGTTTCTGATTAAATGTTATAATTTATATTTATCTAAAAAATACATGTCATTTGTCTTCAAATTTATCGGCACTAATTTGGTCAAAGTATTTTTATTGTAATCATAATTATATCTTTATTTCATTTCCAATATTGTTTATTTGTACCTTCTTTTTTGTTTTTTTTTTGTTTTGTTGTTTGTTTGTTTGTTCGTTTTTTGAGATGGAGTCTCTGCCACCCAGGCTGGAGTGCAGTGGCACAATCTCAGCTCACCACAACCTTCACCTCCCAGGTTCAAGCAATTCTCCCGCCTCAGCATCCCAAGTCGCTGGGATTACAGGCACCCACCACCACGCTCAGCTGATTTTTGTATTTAATAGAAACAGGGTTTCACCATGTTGGCCAGGCTGGTCTTGAACTCCAGACCTCAGGTGATCTGCCTGCCTCGGCCTCCCAAAGTGCTGGAATTACAGGCATAAGCCACCACACCCGTCTCATTCTTCTTTCAAAATATATACATATGACGCAGTAAATTTTCCTTATGTGTTCCTTGTCCTGTGAGATTAATATGTGACATTTTCAGTTATTTATTTTAATGGTTTATATTCGTTATTATTTTTCTTTGGAACTGAATTATTAAAACATATTTTTGTTATTTATTTATGACTTTATCCCACTGTGCTCAGAAAACATGATCTCTATAGAAATTATTTAGTGATTGTTAAGACTTCCTTTATGGTGTGTTACATAGTCAATATTTGTAAATGTTTTCTATGTGGTCTTGTAAATGATCTTGAAAAGTTACATATTCTCCATTTGTTGGGTGTAAGGTCCTATGTGTGTCCATTGAATTGAATTTGTTAAGTCAGTTATACAAAATAGTCTATATCTTTAACTAAATTTATCTGTTTGATATTATTTCCTGTGTGAAGAATGTTAAAAATCTTCCAGGATAATTATGGCTTCTCAATTTTTTTGTAGACGTTTGTCAAGTTTTTCTCTGTACATTTTGAGGCTATGCTGTTAGGTCTGTATCTTCCTCATGACTTAATCAACCATTAATTTATTGAGCATCTGTTATGTCCCAGACATTGTTCGAGACATTGAATTAAACAGCATTGAATAAAACGTAATTATTATTTTTAGGCTGGGCATGGTAGCTCACTCCTGTAATCCCAGCACTTTGTGAGGGGAAGGTGGGAGGATCATTTGAGCCTGGAAGGTCCAGACTTCAGTGAGCTGTGATTGTGCCACTGCATGAGCCTGGATGACAGAGAGTCCCTGTCTCAACAACAACAAAAAACAAAAACAAAAAAGAATTATTATCTGTTTTTCTTTTTTCTTTTTTTCTTTTTCTTTTTTCTTTCTTTCTTTTTTTTTTTTTTTTGAGACTGAGTCTCACTCTGTCGCCCAGGCTGGAGTGCAGTGGCATGATCTTGGCTCACTGCAACCTCTGCCCCGTGGGTTCAAGCGATTCTCCTGCCTCAGCCTCCTGAGTATTTGGGACTACAGGCGTGCACCACCATGCCCATCAAATTTTTGTATTTTTAGTAGAGATTGGGTTTCACCCTGTTGGCCAGGATGGTCTTGATCTCTTGACCTCGTGATCCGCCTGCCTCGTCCTCCCAAAGTGCTGGGATTACAGGTGTGAGCCACCGCACCCAGCCTGTTTTTCTTTTTTTTAAATTTTTTTGACACCAGGTTTTGTTCTTGTTACGCAGGCTGGAGAGCAGTGGCATGATCACACCTCACTGCAGTCTCAACCTCTTGGGCTCAAGTGATCCTCCTGCCTTGACCTCCTGAGTAGCTGGGACCACAGGCATGTGCTGCCATGTCTGGCTAACTTTTAAATTATTTGTAGAGACAGGGTCTTCCTATGTTGCCCACGCTGGTCTCAAACTCCTGGGCTCAAGCGATTCTCCTGCCTCAGCCTCCCAAACTGTTGGGATTACAGTCGTGAGCCACTGAGCCCAACCAAAAGAGTTATTCTTTTTATTATTATTATGTAATAATACTCTTTCCACTAATAATATCTTTTCTTTAATGTTTACTCTTTATAATAATAACATTGGTGTATCTGATTTTTAGGAGATATATATTTTCTGCATTTTTTCCATCACTTTTTTCTCATCAATAAATGGCAGGGCATTATTGTTTTTAAAATTCAATCTGAGAATTGTAGACAATTTTTTTTTCAAGACAGTGTCTCAGGCCAGGCACGGTGGCTCATGCCTGTAATCTCAGCACTTTGGGAGGCTGAGGCGGGTGGATCATGAGATCAGGAGTTCGAGACCAGCCTGGCCAGTATGGTGGAACCCCGTCTCTACTAAAAATACAAAAAAATTAGCTGGGTGTGGTAGTGCGTGCCTATAGTCCCAGCTACTCAGGAGGCTGAGGCAGGAGAATTGCTTGAACCTGGGAGGCAGAAGTTGCAGTGAGCCGAGATTGTGCCACTGACTTCAGCCTGGGCAACAGAGCGAGATTCTGTCTCAAAAAAAAAAAAAAAAAAGACAGCGTCTCCCTCTGTCACCGAGGTTGGAGTGCAGTGGTGCAATCATAGCTCACTGCAACCTTGACCTCCTGGGCTCCAGTGATCTTCCCATCTCAGCCTCCTGAGTAGTTAGGACCACAGGCATACACCACCACACCTGGCTAATTTTTTTTTTTTTTTTTTTTTTTTGTAGAGACAGGTCTCACTGTGTTACCCAGGCTGGCCTCAAATCCTAAGCTCAAACAATCCTCCTACCTTAGCCTCCCAATGTGCTGCAATTACAGGCGTGAGCCACCCTCCCAGCCTGTATACTTTTAATCGACAGAAATAATCTCTTTCCTTTTACTTTGATCACTGATATACTTGGTATTAATTTTAGCAAGTTATTTTGTATTTTCTGTTTGCTCATCGTTTGCTTCTCTTTTTCTCTTTTCCTGTCATCTATTATTTTGATTCTTTTAAGTCCTTTTCTTTGTTGGCTCAGAAGTTACATATTCTATATCTATATTTTTAGAAGTTTTTTTGCTATTGTTAATATTTAACATGTACATTTGCCTTAACAATGCTTAAAGTTACTCAAGAGTTCTATCCTCTTGATAGACCAGCCTGTTGGCCAGGCTGGTCTCGAACTCCTGACCTCAGGTGATCCTCCCGCCTCAGCCTCTCAAAGCTCTAGGGTTACAGGCATGAGCCACCACATCCTTATATTCTTTAAATTTGATCTCCCCTATTTCCCATTTGACATCTTATTCTTGATTGGTATTTTACTTACCAATCAATAATTTCTGTTGTTTCTATAATTTCAATTATTTCTAACCCCACATTGGTTTTCAATATTATTACTATAGTTCTTACAATATTTGTATAGATTTAATTTACATGTTTACCGATTTATCTTAACTTTTTTTTGCATCTCACGTCATCATTTTTGTTACAATTTCTTTCTTCAGGTACTCCAGGAAGAAACAATTTTCATAGATTTTCATAGATCTCCAGTGATACCCTGTGAATAATAAACTTTTTTTATTTCTCTGAAAGTATTCTCATTTTAGCCTTATTTTAAAGGATACTTTAGTTATGAATATGATTTTAGCTTAAATAGTTATATTCTCTTAGTTCTTTGAAGATATTAATCAAGTCTTTTTTTTTTTTTTTTGAGATGGAGTCTGGCTCTGTAGTCCAGGCTGGAGTGCAGTGGCGTGATCTTGGCTCACTGCAACCTCCGCCTCCCGGGTTCACGCCATTCTCCTGCCTCAGCCTCCTGAGTAGCTGGGACTGTGGGCGCCTGCCACCATGCCTGGCTAATTTTTTGTATTTTTAGTAGAGACAGCGTTTCACTGTGTTAACCAGGATGGTCTCGATCTCCTGACCTCGTGATCCGCCCGCCTCGGCCTCCCAAAGTGCTGGGATTACAGGGGTGAGCCACCGCACCTGGCCTAATCAAGTCTTTAAGATGCTGTTGCTGCTGATTAGAAATCTGCTGTCAGTCTAATAGTTATTATTTTGTAGTCATATGTCTTGTCTCTGGTTGCTTTTAAGACTTTATCTCTGATATTCTGTAGTTTTACCATCATTCGTGTGTGTGTTTTTTTCAGCTTGTTCCTTCAATGTAAGGACTTAGATCTTTTTTATAAGTATGGAAACATTTGATCTATTATTTCTTTAAACATTGCCTAGCCGTCTGTCTTCTCCTTCAGGAACTCCTATTAGAAGTATATAGTATTTTCTAATTACGTCCTCTGTGTCTCTTAACTTTTCTCATACATTTACCATTCTCTTTAATCCCTCTGTACTGCATTCTCTGTGATTTATTCAAATCTGTTTTTCAGTTAAGAAATCTCTCTTCAGCTATGTCTAACCTGCTGCTTAACTTGTTTAAGCTTTTCATTTCAGTGATAGTTGTTTTTATTCCTTAAAGTTATATCTGTATTTTAAAAATCTGCCTAGGTTTTTTCAGTATGGTTTCTTTTTTCCTTACTTATCTTTAATCATTTATTTAATTCATACTTCACCAATTTTTTTTTTTTGAGACAGAGTCTCGCTGTGTCCCCCAGGCTGGAGTACAGTGGCGTGATCTCGGCTCACTGCAACCTCTGCCTCCCAGGTTTAAGTGATTCTCCTTCCTCAGCCTCCTGAGTAGCTGGGACTACAGGCGCCTGCCGCCACACCAGCTAATTTTTTGTATTTTTAGTAGAGGCGGTGTATCACCAGGATGTATTAGCCAGGATGGTGGTGTATTAGCCAGGATGCTCTCGATCTCCTGACCTCATGATCCACCCCCCTTGGCCTCCCAAAGCACTGGGATTATAGGCATGTTTGTGTGTGTGTGTGTGTGTGTGTGTGTGTGCAGTTTTAAGAAATTTTATTGCATGTGAGCTGAGATGGCGCCGCTGCACTCCAGCCTGGGCGACAGAGTGAGATTCCGTCTCTAAATAAATAAATCTTTGGAGTTTTAAAATTTTTTTTGAGACAGGGTCTCGCTCTGTCACCCAGGATGGAATGCTGTGGCATGATCATGGTTCACTGTACCCTCGACCTCCCCAGTTCAAGCAATCCTCCTGCCTTAGCCTCCTGAGTAGCTAGGACTACAGGTGCATGCCACCACACCTGGCTAATTATTTTGTACTTTTTGTAGAGACAGGGTTTCGCCATGTTGCCCTGGCTAGTCTCGAACTCCTGGGCTCAAGACCCACCTCTACCTCCCAAAGGTGAGCCACCAAGCCCGACCACATGTATATTTTTGTGTAACCACCACCACAATCAAGTTACAGAACTGTTCTATCACCACGAGGCTGCAGCATGCTGCCTCTTTAGAACCACCAGCACTTGCCTCATGCTTCTGCCTTATCCCCAACCCTTGGCAACCACTAATCTGTTCTCTACTTCTACGATTTTGTTATTTCAAGAATGTTTTATGAGTAGAATAATACAGCATATAACCTATGGAGATTGGCTTTTTTCAGTCAGCATAATTCCCTAGCGATCCATTCAAGTTCTATGTATTGATAGTTTACTCCATTTATTTATTTATTTAGAGACGGAGTCTCACTCTGTCATCCAGGCTGGAGTGCAGTGGCGCCATCTTAGCTCACTGCAACCTCTGCCTCCTGGGTTCAAGTGATTCTCCCACCTCAGCCTCCCAAGTAGCTGGGACTACAGGTGCGCACCCACATGCCCAGCTAATTTTTGTATTTTTAGTAGAGACAGGGTTTCACCACTTTGGCCAGGCTGGTCTTGAGCTCCTGACCTCAGGTGATCCACCCACCTTGGCCTCCCAAAGTGCTGGGATTACAGGCGTGAGCCAGTGCACCCAGCCCTGTATTTATTTTCAAATGAAATATATGGGCATATCTTTTGCCCATTTTAAAATTAGATTTTTATTTTATTTCATTTTATTTTTTTACTGTTTTGAGAGTTCCTACATGTTCTAGATACAAGTCCTTTGTTGGATATGTGGTTTGCAAATATTTTCTCCCAGTCCGTGCCTTATCTTTTCATCATCCTCACAGAAGTTACAGAGTAGAAGTTTTAAAATTTGATGTCAACTCCTTAATAACTGTAACCTAAATAGATATTTAGTGTAGTAAGTAGTCTCCTTCCGATTTGCTGTGATAGCTAGTTCTTAGGATACAAATTCTTCCCATTGTTGTACATATGAGCTCTCCCTCGTGCTGGTTCATTGATTCATCTCTTTTATATTTTGTGAACTTTTGAAGAAGGTGTTCTTTTTCCTTCATCTTAGTGCCCTGAACTGTGAGTGTCACTCTGCTTTGATGTTTTACATTTTCTCTTGCTAGGACTTAAGAAATTTTATGGATCCTGGACCAGTTTGGGGATTTCTGTAGCTTCAAGGCACAAAAAATATCCACTTTTCCAGTTTACTACAGCATAATTGGATTTACTGCACTAATATGGATCACTCTTTGTTTTTGGGATTTGTGGTTTCCTTTTTTTTTTTTTCTTTTTTCCTTTCTTTCTCTCAGTCTTGACTATGTAATTAAATTTTTGTATTATTTTATAAAGCATTTTAGTATATTTGTAGTGAGAGTTAGTTCACATTAGCTTAATATTCCATGTTGTCAAAACCAAAACAATCCATGTAAGTGTTTTAATCGAAAATTACATATAATTTGAGTACAGAGGGTGAAAACTTAAGAATTAAAAAAAAATAAATAAATAAGATAAACAGTGAAGTTAAAATGAAATCTTTGACAGAGAAGCCCCTAATATTTCTCTATCCATTAAGGTACAGATTTGGATGGAAAGCACCAGATTTTCTTTGATCTTTCTGATTTTTTTTTTCTCTAATCTCATTTCTACCACCCTTCCCTTTAATAGACATTTTTTTCCTTTGATTTCCCAGGATATGCTCCGTGTAAAGTGTTCTGGCCTTCTCCTGAGCTTTGTTTTCTGAATTTTCCTCCTCACACTGTCTCGTCCTCAATCCTGAGTTATAATTTTGGAGCTCTTGTTCTAACTTGACAACTAGTTTCTGATTACCCAGCCACTTCCCATGCTTATCATCTGGCCAGGATAAACCAGGCTTATCTCAACAATTCTAGTGCTAATTTTATATCTTTAATCCACAAATTGCTTGCTGTTCTTAGTGCCCAGCATTTTCATGCCAAAAAGTTTGCATAAAGTTAGTCTCTTTATGGGGAAAATTTTGATAAATGGAAGGAATGTGTGCAATTCTCTATTGCCATCATTAAAGTGGAAGTGGAAAGGCCTTGTGTTGTGAAATAAAACCATTTCTTCATTCCCATATTTAGTTTTTTTTCAAGTCCACACACATTTCTACTTCCCTATTTTGTGTAAACAATGGTGCTTCCTTTTTTTCCTTTAAGAGAGAAAATCCCTGTCACCCAGGCAGCCTCACCTTGAACTACTGGGCTCAAGCAATCCTCCTGCCTCATCTTCCCTAGTAACTGGGACTACAGGACAACACACCGTGCCTGGCTATTTTTTTTATTTTTAATTTTTAGAGATTGGGGGTCTCACCCTATTGCCCAGGCTGGTGCTTCTGATTGAAGTCCTCCAAAGGACTTTTATTGCGTTCAGATTGAAGTTTAAATTTCTCACAGTGGCCTACAAGGATCTACATGATCTGGCCCTTGCCTAGTCTTCATACTCAACTCTGTATCTTCCTTTCAATGGGTAGATTCGGGTATTCTTTTATTTCTAGACATTTTTATTAGGTAATTATAATTTTAAATATTCTGTTTTAATGTTTTGTTTTCAGTCTTTATAAACTCCAATTTTCCATATGTTGGATCTTCTCTGCTGATCTCTGATATACATTACTCTGAATCAATTTTAAATAAATGGTTATCACTTCAACTCAAGCATGTACTAAGTGCCAAGTATGCTAGAATATACCCTAGTCAGTGATTTTTTAAAAGGGATCACACATGGTTCATTTTGCTGACTATGAGCTGATAATTATGTAGAGGCAGTGTATATGGAGAAAACAGCTTGAGGCTGGGCATGGTGCCTCATGCCTGTAATCCCAGCACTTTGGGAGGGCAAGGTGAGCAGATTGTTTGAGCCCATGAGTTCAAGACCAGCTTAGGCAACATAACAAAGCCCTGTCTCTACCAAAAATACCAAAAAAGGAAATTAGCTGGGTGTGGTGGCATGCCTGTAGTCCCAGCTACTCGGGAGGCTGAGGCAGGAGGATCACTTGGGAGGCTGAGGCAGGAGGATCACTTGAGTCTATGAGGTCAAGGATGTAATGAACCAAGATTGTGCCACTGCAGTCAAGTTTGGGTGGCAGAATGAGATCTCATCTCAAAAAAAAAAAAAAAGAGAGAAAATAGCTTGATAAAAAAATGAAGGTGTCAATAATAGATGAATAACTACTAAAACAGGATAAAGGCATTAGATGATATAGAATCGAACTGTGTAGCCAAAAACAGTAAGAAAAGCTACCTATAAAATTCAGGTTTAATGGGCTCTATGGAAGAAATCTCATATTTTCCATTCATTTATTAATGCTCACATTGATCTTTATTTTAACACTTACTGACATTATATTTAGACTTCATATTTTCTTATCTTTATGCTACTTTGTGTGCTTTGAATGTTTATGTGCACCCCCCCATCCCAGAATTCATATTTTGAAACTAATACCCAATGTGAGGGTATTTAGAGATGGGGCCTTTGAGAGGTGATTAGGTCATGAGGGCAGAATGCTCCTGAATGGAATTAATGCCGTTATGAAAAAGGTTTCAGAGAGATCCCCACCCCTTCTGCCATGTGAGGTTACAATGACAAGATGGCCTTTCTATGAGAAAGTGGGTTCTCATCAGATGTAAAATCTGCTAGCACCTTGATCCTGGACTTTCAGCCTCCAGAATTGTGAGCAATAAATTTCTGTTATTTATAAGCCACTCAGTGTATAGTATTTTGTTATAGCTTCTTGAACAGGCTAAGACACTACTGTATAAATGTTCCCCTGGCAGATATTTGATGCTTTTTCTGTGTTCCTTCAGAATTTTGTACCAACTTCTATTATAGCACTGCCTACTTGGGCTGTAAGACAGTTTAGCTCAGTGGCCCAGAGTGGTGACTCTAAAGTCAGACAGATGTGACATAGATTCTTAGCTCTGCCACTTACTAGCTTTGTGACCTCAATCAAATTACCTGACCTATAAGCTTCATTTTCTTGATCTGTCAAATGAGGGTAAGAATAGATAGTCATAAATGCTAAATCAGACAATGCATGTAAAGTGCTTAGTACAGTGTCTGACACATAGTAAACTTCAATTCATCTTTTTTTTTTTAAGAGATGGGGTTTCATCACGTTGCGCAGGCTGGTCTCCAACTCCTGGGTTCAAGAAATCAACCCACCTCAGCCTCCCAAAGTGCTAGATTTACAGGCATGAGCCACTGTACCCAGCCAATTCATCTTTATAGGTGCTTGTCTGCCTTACTGTACTACAGTCTCCATGAAGATGTGGACCATGGTATGTTCTTTTTTTGTACTCAAGTACCTGACATGTAGTAAGTCCTAGTAAGTGTTTGTTGGGTGAATTTGCAGCTCTGTATAATAGTCCTTTTTCTTAACAAAAGGTCATATGCCATGTTGGTTCACTATCTAGGAGACTTTTAAACAGAGAACAGAGAGCCTAGCATGTGCTCATCTGGTAAGGTGTGCTTCAGGGTAAATAGTTATTGATACTTGTAACTCTTTTTAACCTATGATCTAGAAAACTCCATTAGTCTGGCTTTCCCCAAAGTTCTTGTGTCCATTAATTTTTCTGTCCACAAAGTTTTCTACCATCCCCACTGAAGACATGCCTGTGGTTTTCTGGGATGACTAATTATTTTATTTTAAATTCACCTCTAAATCTTTATTCCAGAGCATCCTGTATGCAGTTAAAGTTATTAATATTTTGCATTTGGCACCCCTGAGAAATATCAGCATTCAATTATGGACCACATTCTCCTCTTTTCTCTAGTTGCTCCAATGTTGCATTTCCCATGAAGTTTATTAAGAATTTAAGGAGGGAGGAAAACAACCCAGCTATCTTTCCCTTTGACTGATGGCACTAATTTAAATTTTCCCTTTAAAAGTAATGTGTGGTGATATGGTTTGGCTGTGTCCCCCGCCCAGATCTCATCTTGAATTCCCACGTGTTGTGGGAGGAACCTGGTGGGAGATAATTGAATCATGGGGGCAAGTCTTTTCCCTGCTGTTCCCAGGACAGTGAATAAGTCTCATGAGATCTGATGGTTTTAAAAATGGGAGTTTCCCTGTAGAAACTCTCTATTTGCCTGCTGCCATCCATGTAAGACGTTGACTTGCTCCTCCTTGCCTTCTGCCATAATTGTGAGGCATCCCCAGCCATGTAGAACTGTAAGTCCATTAAACCTCTTTCCTGTATAAATTACCCAGTCTCAGGTATGTCTTTATTAGCAGCTTGAAAACAGACTAATACATGTGAATATATTGGTATAGATATAGGTATTATTATGGCTATACTGGAGACATATATGTAGTTTTTTATATGGATGAAAAAGTCTGGAAAAATACATCTCAACAAGTTAACCGTGGTCATCACTGGGTGGTGATGTTATCGGTGTTTAGTTTTTCTTTCTACTTCTCAAAATAAGGCCTTGATGGGTTGGTTTCTTTTCTGCTTTCACTTTAGCTGTAATAATTCTCCGAGACTATTAACTGTTTTCAAAGTCTATTTTCCCATTCGTTTAGGTAATAGGACCCTTAACTTTTAGCTGAATACAAGATGACCAGAATAAAGACTACATTTTCCAGCCTCCCTTGAAACTAGCAAGAGCCGTGTGTCCCCCTTCTAGTTAATAGGATGCAATTAGAAATGTCACGTGCAATTTGGGGAAAGTGTCCTTGAATGGAAGATGCACTCTCCTTCCTTCCTTTTCTCCTTCTTGCTGATGAGGAGGCAGATTTAATGACTAGAAGTTGAGCAACCCTTTTGGACCAGAAGAATAAAAGTCACACCCTAGGGATGGCAAACTGAAAAGCTGGAAGAGGCCTGGGTTCATGACAATTCCGCAGACCTTGCCAAACTGGCCTTAGACTTCTCATCTCCAGATGTTTTACATGAGGGCAACATATACGTTTAAGGAATGATTAATTTGGGTTTTATGTTATAGACAAATCAAATCCTAACTGGTGTGAAATTAGTGTATAATTCATATTTTCCTTTGCTTCAGTAGTGAAGAATTTGTATTATATGCTCTTCCCCAGACACGCTTAACATAATTTCTGTAAGTGAACTGTCAAGCTTTAATTCTTATGCAGTTTTAAGATTGTTAAATCTTGCATATCTCTAGTTCAATGAAAACATTAGCATATGTTTACCAGAACACACATAAAAAAATGTTCATGGCACAATCCATTTGTAATAGCAACAATTTATTAAACCACTGATAAACATGGTTAAATAAATTGTGGTACAGTCCTGCTATTGAGTGTTACACAATGGTGAAAATGAATAGAGTATGATCTCAACATTATTGATCAACCTTAGCAATATAGTATTGAGCTAAAAGAACAAGTCCTAGAAGACAACATATAATACATTCAAAACAAATAAAACTAGTATACTGTTTAGGCCCACGCAAATGTGCAATGAAATTTAAAGAAGAGCAATGTATGATAAAAACAAAATTTAAAAGAATAGTTACTACTGAGAAGAATGTTGGGGTCTGGTATGGGATGGAACAGGTAGGTCGATGTATGTCATGGAGAGTTTTTGGCTTTTGGGTTGAGAGGTGGGGTTATGAGTGGTTTCTTGTATTATTATAACACATACAACGAAAATAAATGAAATGAGGTTTATTTAAAAACCAATGGGCCAGTCATAGCCCTTGATTCATGACACACTATTAATATGAATCAGAACTGTGATTAATCCAGTTTTGTGCTTCTGAAGTTCATAAAACAATCATACCACTTAGGAAGCTGCCTATTATGCAGGCCTGGTTTTATTTCTATAAATCAGGCAACAAGGATGGATGTGTTTCTATTTGTGTACCCAACTGTTTCCCTAACCAGGTTTTTAAAAATAAACTTTTAATTTTAGAATACTTTTAGATTTACAGAAAAGTTGCAAAGATAGGACAGAGTTCCTGTAACAACCCCCACCAACACCACTTCCCCTGCTGTTAACACCTTGCATTACTGTAGTACATTTGTTCCCACTAATGAACCAATGTTGATACATTATCATTACCCCTACCAGATTTCAGGCTTCCTGAGAGCACAGTCCATGCATTTTAGCATTCCCCATTTTGCATCTAGTCAGTATTCTGCATGTGTTGAATTGATGAGGAAATAAACTTTTTAAATGACCAAATTTTCTGCAATAAGAAGCTCCATATTTTATAATAATTTATAATTTGCTTTAAGTAGCTTTAGCTGCTTTGAGATAGAACCCTGAGCTAAGTTGGGTTTAATGTTCTTAAAAGTCATTGTTTCTGAATTATTTACCAACAGTCTCATTAGAATGAGCACGGGAAGCCAAATGCTGAACTGGGTATTTTTTTTTTCCTCCCTAAGTTTCTTTTCTAAATCAGGTCACGGAAAATGGATGCTATTTCTTTAAATAATATAACCAAGCTGATCCCTGGATTACAATTAGGTTACGTAACTTGCTTATGAGCTGCTTTTCATTAAAACTTGCAGTGGGCAATGGGGCTTTACGTTTCAGAGCAAAGCCGGGGAGAACAATCCTGCCGAAAGCCAGAACACATGCGGTGTCAGTGGCAGAGACTGCAAGAATTTCGGCACGAGATTGAGTTCAATGTAGGCGACTCCTTTTCTCTTTAAATCCTTAAAACATCCTTTGTCCTACCAAACTTGCTGGTTCCAAATACGTCTAAAACGTACATGCTGAGTGCCCACCCCATGAGGGAAGATCGCGTGGCCAGTCCCCAGAAGGCTGAGGAATGAGGAGCCCTCCAGGGAGAACATTATCAAGTTTCTGCAGAACCATAGCTCAGTTTTATTTCTTGCAGAACACACATTACTAGGAAACATTTTAAAGATGTGGACTAGGGAGGTAACAAAAACCTAGTTCCAGCCTATAACCATATATTTGCAAATAAGCATTTCATGGGTACGAAAATCAAAGTTTAGGGTGTCAGATCAGGTAGAAAACAAGAGGCATGGTGTCAAAACCCAAAGAAAAGAAGTCTGAAGAGAGTTGGGATGAGGGTTCATCAAAAAATACAAACATCTGTTCTGAAAAATGGAGAGAAAGCCAGCTTTCCCTAGAAAGGAAGTTGTTCGTTGCTGTTATACAGGATACTCACCACAGGATGAGAGACTTTTTTTTTTTTTTTTGAGACAGAGTCTTGCTCTTGTCACCCAGGCTGGAGTGGTGCAGTGCGCAATCTTGGCTCACTGCAACCTCTGCCTCCCGGGTTCAAGCCATTCTCCTGCCTCAGCCTCCTGAGTAGCTGGGATTACAGGCGTGCGCCACCACGCCTGGCTAATTTTTGTATTTTTAGTAGAGATGGGGTTTCACCATGTTGACCAGGCTGGTCTTGAACTCCTGACCTCATGATCCCCCCACCTCGGCCTCCCAAAGTGCTGGGATTACAGGTGTGAGCCACCAAACCTAGCCTTTTTTTTTTTTTGAGACAGAGTCTGCTCTTGTCGCCCAAGCTGGAGTGTAGTGGCATGATCTCAGCTCATTGCAACCTCTGCCTCCCGGTTCAAGTGACTCTCATGCCTCAGCCTCCTGAGTAGCTGGGATTATAGGTGCATACCACGCTGCCTGGCTAATTTTTGTATTTTTAGTAGAGATGGGGGGGGGGGTTTCACCATGTTGGCCAGGCTGGTCTTGTACCCCTGAACTCAAGTGATCCGTCTGCCTCAGCCTCCAAAGTGCTGGGATTACAGGTGTGAGCCACTGTGCCTGGCCAGGATGAGAGCATTTTTGATACTCATATTAAGACTGCCTCCTAGAAGATGATAACTGCTGGAAATAAAAGTTTTACAATTAGAGTAAGCAAAGTTATCAGAGAATGGGACAAAACACTCTTTTTTTTTTTTTTTGAGATGGAGTCTTGCTCTGTCGCCCAGGCTGGAGAGCAGTGGCACGATCTCGGCTCACTGCAAGCTCTGCCTCCCGGGTTCACGCCATTCTCCTGCCTCAGCCTCCCGAGTAGCTGGGACTACAGGTGCCCACCACCACGCCCGGCTAATTTTTTGTATTTTTAGCAGAGATGAGGTTTCACCATGTTAGCCAGGATGGTCTCAATCTCCTGACCTTGTGATCCGCCCGACTCGGACTCCCAAAATGCTGGGATTACAGGCTTGAGCTACTGCGCCCGGCCGACAAAACACTCTTGACAATAAATTAATGGGGGAGAGCTCTGCTGGAGATTGAAGCAGAACAGGACCATGAGAAGAAAGGACAGTTTAATGCCAAAATTCTACCAAATACAAAATTCTTTTTTGAAATGGAATGATTGCATAGCGATAAAAATAGCAATCAGGAACAATTAAATGAACTTGGAGCCCTTCATGTACTTGAAGAAACACCTGTAATTTACTATATGGGAACAGCCAAAAGGATAATTATTTAAGCAGCTAAATTAAGGCTTGTTTCTTAACTTTTGATAAATGTGATCTCTTACAAATTCTCAAAGTAGAGAAGGATATTTTATTATACAGCTGTCTAAAATATTGGTTAAAGAGAACTCTTTTGTTTTAACTTATAGTTAACTTTTTTAAAAAATTATGGTTAACTTTTAACTTTCAACTACCAATAGTTCATATTTATAGTTGACTTTTGTAAGTTTTTAAACTGAAAAATAAACTTTTAACTATCAATATGACCAATGTAAATGTGAACTATATGCTTGGATGCAAAGCAGTTCATTAATTCTAATGGTATTGCACATTAATCTTGGCTTCAACACAGTCCAAAACTTGCCTAAGCCCTGTTGGTTGCTGGGGAGTTTTTGATTCTTGTGTATGTGTCTAATTTACTAATGAACCTTGGTGTCATTTAGGGCTGAACCAAGAGCATCTGAACGGGTCTGGCCGATCCCAGGCAGCTGGGGAAGGACACCTCGGTGTACTGAGCAGAGCTGGAAGAACACCAGCGCTGGGATGAGTCAGATACTCTCAGAGTGTGTAGTGAGTCAGAATCAGTGCCCCCACTCCCCTAGCTGTAGCAAAAAAACAAAAAATAAAAAGGAAAAGAAAAAAGGAAGGTATTAAAGGACACACCACAAACCCCCTCCCCGTGACCCTTCGTACCCTGAGTGTTGTGGACCCTGCCTATTCCAAGGAGGCACAGACCAGAGGCCATAATGTAAGCGATGGCCAGAGGTGAAACCAGCAAATCCAACCTCAACCCTAACTCTGACATGATGGACAGCAAGAAAGGGGACAGGTGGGCCAGCACCTGTCACTGGGGTGTCATCATCAGTGATGCATCTTGGGGAATCTGCAAGTGATCTTGGGAGCTGGGAATGCACCAGAATATGTGAGCTCTGGTGTCTTAGAGACTTTGGTTTAAATGTAAATCCTTTCTTTGTCATTAAGTGGGTGTTACTGGGACAAGTCTCTTAAACTCTGAGACACACATCCCTAATCTGAAGGTGATAATGTCCTTTCTCACTAGGTGGTTGGTTTGGTGGGGGTGGGGGGTACAGATTGCTAAAGATGATTTCATGCTTTCACTTAGCTCAACTCTGGGCCTGACATGAATGAGGTACTCCATAAATACTTGCTGAATAAATGTCTAAGTGATGCCACCACTAGATCACCCAGCTGAGGCTGTGCTTGACACCTGGTTGACATGTTTTCCAGGACACGGTCTCTTAAGACCCTGTTGCCTATCCCCTGGAGATCAGGAGCAGAGTCTGTTTCCTCATCTGGGAATATTCTGTGTCCTATAGAGAAAGCTTATGCAGAAAAGTTACACATGGAAACATCTCAAGTATTCAAAAGCACTGTTCAATAATCTACAGACATGCACAGTGTTCATGAAAATGACTCTCCTAGCCAATACGCCACTGGTGAATATTAGTATCTTGGTGATGAGGAACCAGAGGCTTTTGAGGCTTATTTCAGTATTTGTGCTCATTTTTGGAGAAATACCATCCAACATTCTTTTGACCAAATTTTACTGAAAGCTTCTCCTCTGCAAGGTTTTGTTTTAGGTCCACCCAACAGAAAGAATTACAAGATAAGGCTCAGAAGCCCTATCTAAAGCCTGCAATCTAAAGCCTGCAATGACCGCACGGATGCCTGTAGTCCAGGGTCAAGCTGTGGAACAAGAAGCCTGAAGACAGAGTTGTGAGACTGTCTCATTAATTTTTGTAATTCTCACTGGGTCTATTGTTCTGTCACACAAAAAATAATGGTCATAATCATGATGATGATGAGGATGATAATGGTAATAATGTAATTGCAAACATCCCGAGTGCTTCCTATATGCCAAACACTGTGCTAAGAGCTCCATGCATTCACATGTTGCTTCATTTAAGTTTTACAACTCTGTCGGGTAGCTTCTCTTTTAAACTTGATTACAGATAAGAGAATTAAGGCAAAACTTTTCTCTGGAAGATGCAGAAGACATCTGTTTGCTTGTTCATCTGAGTTTCAGCATCATATAAAAATTTGGGAAACAAAAATGGAATAAAAAATGTCATGTTTCTAGATGGTGCTAGAAAGTAGATGTTGAGGGAAAAGAAGAAGAAAACTAATATTATTTGAATATTATGATGTGCCAAGCACCTTTACACATATGATTTTGTTTAATCTTAATTTTGCAGATGAAAAAAATAGAAGATTAGAGAGTTAACGTAAGTTGAGCCCCCAAATGCCTGACTCTAAAGTCCGCATTCTTTTCGTTCTATCATGGAATTCTGGCTCTGTCACTTACTACCCATCTGTGACTTTTTTTATTTTTTTATTTTTTGAGACAGAGTCTTGCTCTGTGGCCCAGGCTGGAGTGCAGTGGTGTGATCTCGGCTTACTGCAACCTCCACCTCCTGGGTTCAAGAGATTCTCCTGCTTCAGCCTCCCAAGTAGCTGGGATTACAGGCACGTGCCACCACGCCCAGCTAATTTTTGGATTAGTAGAGACGGGGTCTCACCATGTTGGCCAGGCTGGTCTTGAACTCCTGACCTCAAGTGATCTGCCCCCCTCAGCCTCCCAAAGTGGTGGGATTACAGGTGTGAGCCACCGCGCCCGGCCCCATCTCTGACATTTTTAAAACTTTGGGGCTGTAACAGTAAAATGGAGATTCAAAGCCTGACCACCTACCCCCAAGGATGTTTTAAGAAATCATGTGAAGTAATCGAGGTGTTTGACAAAAATGAAATAGGCATGGATATTGAGAGCAAATAATCCAAATTTGAATGAAGGAGATATGAGCATAACTATGATACAAAATGTTAGGCGTCATTATACTTGTTTGAGCAAAATGCCTGCAGCACAGAAAAGAGTTATTGCTGTTGCCTGGGTGAGCCATGGAAGAGCCCACAGAGAAAGTGACATTTGAGCTAAGCTCAAATGAGGAGGGTTTCATTAGGTTAAAAAAAGAAAAACAAATAGGGAAGTTGAGGAAGGGCATTTTAAGGAGAGGCCACAGTGGAGGCAAAGGAATGGAGGTGTGAGAGCTTGTGATATGTCCAGGGCGCAGTGAGCTGTAGAGAATGCCAGAGGACCATGTGCCCTGGGATTGGCAGACGGCGAGCCTGGCATGACTGGACCAGATTTAGAAGGGCCTTGAATGCCACCCTGAGGCCTTTGCATTTAATTCTGTAGGCAACTGGGAGCCACCAAGGGTGATTACCCAAAGAATCCATAAGGACAAAGAGTCTGAACAGGGCCTTTTGCCATTCTGTTCTTGTGATGATCACAAAGTCCCATGTTCAGAACATCACAGTCTGTTGCCATGGAAATAGTAATGGGCCTCACTATGGGAATAAATTATCCTCATCATTATACCTTTCTTCCAAGGAACTCAAAGTGTTTGTTGTATGTGTTTTCTTTTCTTTCTTTCTTTCTTTTTTTTAAATAGAAGCACCAGATGGTGGTTAAGGGAAAGAAGAAAGCCTAAAGACTGTTGAATTAAAGGAGATTTCAAAGGAATGGAAGGAAAAACACAAGTTGAATTTTGAAAGGTTTAATCAAAACAGATGGCAGAATATCTCAGCCTGAGGGAAGGGGAAAACTGTCTCAGAAGCCATCTGATTTAGGAGCTTCTTCACCCTGGCTTCCTGGGTCCCTGTCTGCTCCCGCCTGCAGGCTGACTGTTCAAACTGGTTAATGAGGAAGGAAAGGTGTGTGTGTGCACACGCATGCATGTGTGTACCAGATAATAGATATGCCAGACACAAGAATTAACATTGTCAAAATGCCCTTTTAATTAGAGTTCTATAAATACTGTTTATTATGCATGGAATCTTTATTTTCAGATTGATTTTTTTTAATAATCAACAAAGTTTTATTATCTTCACAAAATTGTATCTGCTGTTTCCACTCGGGGTAGAAGAAGGAAACTATTGTTTGTGCTTATCTAATTTGCACACACTTTCCTGTATCACTTTTTTATTTTTATTTATTTATTTATTTTGAGACAGGGTCTCACTCTGCTGGAGCGCAGTGGTGCCATCATAGCTGACTGCAGCCTCGAACTCCTGGGCTCAAGCGACCCTCCCACCTCAGCCTTCTGACTAGCTGGAACTACAGGCATGTGCCACCATGCCCAGCTAATTTTTTTTTTTTTTTTTTTTTTTGAGACAGAGTCTCACTCTATTGCCCAGGCTGGAGTGCAGCGGTGCAATCTTGGCTCACTGCAACCTCTACCTCACAGGTTCAAGCAATTCTCGTGCCTCAGCCTCCCGAGTAGCTGGGACTACAGGGCGTGCGCCACCACCCCCAGCTAATTTTGTTTGTATTTTTAGTAGAGACAGGGTTTCGCCATGTTGGCTAGGCTGGTCTCAAACTCCTGACCTCAGGTGATCCATTCGTCTCGGCCTCCCAAGGTGCTGGAATTACAGGTGTGAGCCACAGCTCCTGGCCTTAATTTTTTGTATATTTTGTAGAGACGGGTTTTTGCCATGTTGCCTAGGTTGTTTCTGAACTCCTGGACTCAAGCTATCCACCCACCTCAGCCTCCCAAAATGCTGGGATTACAGGTGTGAGTCACTGTGATTGGCCCAAGTATCATCCCATTTTAATTCATCGCTCAGGATAGAATAATCCTATCATTATTCCTTGTTACAGAGGTAGGCCCACAGAAATTGCAAATATTGCCCACGTTATTTCTAAGTGGCAGATAAGTAGGAGAGCCCTGATCTGAACTGTGGTCAGCTCAGGCTCCTTCCAAAACTCTGAGACTTCTGGACCTGACACTCCAAACTGAGAGAATCTGAGCAAGTTACTCATTCTGCCTGAGCCTCAGTTTCCTCTATAGGATGGGAAAGCAATGCCTTCTCCAGCATTCTTCCTTTAGCGGCATGGGTATGGAATAGAACTTGAGTCTGAAGAATGGTAGACAGTTCTGGTATCCTGTGCACCTCATTTGAGACCTCTGTGCCCCTGTCTTGCCAGGCTGCCCACGTTATTTTGAGTGGGCAACTCAAGTTCTAAGGATTGAAATAGTTTTTTTTTTTAATTATAAAATGCAAAAGGCAGGAAGAAGTTAGGGCATTGGGGTGCCAGAGAGGTTACATTTAAATAACAAGTATTTAATGAGTGTCTACTAAGTGCCTTCACTGTGTTAGTTTGTGGGGATACTAAAATAAGCAAAACGCACAGGGCCCAGCTACCCTAGAGGGCTTAGACAAAGAGCAGGCATGCGAGGATTTCTACGTGGAAGCTGCATTTGAAATGAGGTTTTAGCCATTATCCTCCATGAAAGACAGCTTCCTAAACTGATATCTTATTCCGTCTTCAAGGAAGGAAGGAAAAGCATGTTTTTCTTAACCTGCTCTAACAATCTTAGGCATCCATCCCCACTCCCTGTTCTCCCCAATACAGATCATCCTTATCACATACAATGCTTTTCAGCCTCCTGAATATTCTTGGTTTAGATATGAGCCTCAAATTAGATGGATCAGAGTAAAAATGCTTGAGGATGAATTCTTTATCATTCTACTGTTTATGGACAGCCCTACTGCATAGAAATGCACTGCTGGCTGATAACCCAACTGTCTGGCTGCAGATTGTGGTTTTACTGTGAGTAGGAAGGGGAAGAGAGCAGGGCGAGGTAGCTGCTGCAAAAGAGGAGCAGAGTGAGTACACAGAACCCCAGCCCCCAGGGTTCCCGGCTCATCTGCAGCCTGATCTCAAATCCTTCCAACCTGCCACAGCTCAAAAGGGGAACACTTTTCCATAAAAAGCCATGCCTTTTGGTTTGAATGTTTCTCCAACACACGCTGTCTCTAAAGTGCTTGGTTTTCTCTGCTCACCGACTTTGATTCACCTTACACAGTTCTGCGCACGACTACATTTTACTAAAGCTTAAGTGAATTCGAAAGAGTTTCTTACCCAATGTCGTTGGGTATTGGGGTTGGTGGGAACATAAAAGAACCTTTTCTGAGGAGGAGGACTGAGGTTGGAACCAGTGATGCACATCCCAAACGGCTACAAAATGCCAGGAAGTCTTTAGAGAACTGAGAAAAACCAAAACCAAACAGGGCTTAGAAAACCTGGAAAGGGCCGGACGTGGTGGCCCACGCCTGCAATCCCAGGGCTTTGGGAAGCCAAGGTGGGCAGATGGCTTGAGCTCAGGAGTTCAAGACCAGCCTGCACAACATGGCGAAACCTTGTCTCTACTAAAAATACAAAAATTTAGCTGTGTGTGGTGGTGTGTGCCTGTGGTCCCAGCTCGGGAAGCTGAGGCGGGAGCATCACCTTGAGCCCCGGAGGTTGAGGCTGCTGTGAGCCATGATAGCCATGACAGAGTGCTCCTCCACACTCCAGCTTGAGTGACAGAGCGAGACCTCATCTCTAAAAAAAATTTAAAAAAAGAAAAGAAAAGAAAACCTGGAAAGACAATGATGAGAAGCAGCAGTTGGGAGCAGAGAAGAGAAAGTGATCAGGAGAAATGCAGAAGAGACAGAGACCATTATGAGGGTCTCCTGGATTTTTATGGCCGTCTCAGCTTCATTCTAGAGCAAGAATAGATGGACTTCAGTAGAATTGGCCATGGCCATGGAAAGGATTTTGGATTTTATTTTAGGGTTCATTGGATTGGATGTTGGGAGTCGAGGAGAAGGAGGACTCAAGGACGTCAAGTTGAGCAACCGATGGTGCCATTTATGGAGAGGAAGGCCAGGGTCAAGAGAATCTAAAAAATGTCATTTTGCCATTGTAAATTTGAGTTGTGTTTGGATGCAGGAGTCTGAAACTCAGAGGAGAGGTTCGAATTGGAGAAACGAATTTGGGAGTTGCCGACACATAGATTCTTAACGCCATAGGAATGGAGGTAATCATCCAGGAAGACAGTCCTTCTCATAACCTGCGTTTTAAAAGGGAGAAAATTGAAGCTGGGAGAGGTCCAAAAGCTTGTTAAATAGACCCATTTTGCCACCAGTGAATGATGGAACCAAGATTCAAACCAGGGGCCACAGTGGGTATAGAGTAGCTACTATTATTGCTGTTGTTGTTCTTGTTGTCATGGCTATTATTTCTTGCTGAGGTTAAGAGCTTGGCTCCATTACATTTATGTAAAACCAGCTTAGCTCCCTAAACAGCCCCATAAAATTCCTCTGTGATGATACTCCAGTGCCCTGGGAAATCCTAAGGCTCTGCCTCCCACCTGTCATTCGAAATTGCTTGTCCTGTCCTGGGAGCTCCAGTTCCTGTTCCACTGCCCAGCACCTGGTTATTTCTGCCATGTTTCCCAGATCCTTTGGCCTGACACTTCAGTGGGACTCTCTGTGTGGCATGCACCCAGCTTTGCCCATGGGTGCTATCTTTCCCTTGGCTCCATCAATTACAACCCATGAGCCAGTTGTGCCTCATCTCTGAGGCCACTCCTGGCTCTCAGATCCCTAAAGCAAGTATGGTTCCCTGTGTACTTGCCGGTCCAGGAGGAAAGTTCAGGCAGTATCTTGGCTCTGTCTTTCAATCTATTCTTTCCGTTAAAGGCATCCTGGATATTCTTCTTAGGCCTACCTTATTTTTCCAGACTTGAGCTAATCTAATAAGATATTCATTCCATTGTCTTGCCTCTTCTGAGCCTTTTCTTGCTTTTCTCTTCCATTCTTCCCTTATAGTCTTTAATGCTTTTTAAAAAAACCTACTTTACCTCCTTCTTGTTTTAAGGTGTGCTTGTTTTTTTTTTTGTTTTTGAAGACCTTTCACCACTTCATTCCTAGGTATTGCTTTCTCCCACACCATGCCTGATTTTTCCTAGCTTCAACGTTAAAAAAAAATAGTTTAATCTTCATTGTTACCTTTTTTTTTTTTTTTCTGAGACAGAGTCTCACTCTGTCGCCCAGGCTGCAGTGCAGTGTTACTATCTTGGCTCACTGCAGCCTCCATCTCCACCTCCTAGGTTCAAGCAATTCTCCTGCCTCAGCCTCCCCAGTTGCTGGGACCACAGGCATGCACCACCTTGCCTGGCTAATTTTTGTATTTTTAGTAGAGATGGGGTTTCACCATTTTGGCCAGGCTGGTCTCAAACTCCTGGCCTCACATGATCTGGCCGCCTTGGCCTCCCAAAGTGCTAGGATTACAGGTGTGAGCCACAACACCTGGCTACCACTACCATTTGACATTGGCTAATTCTACCTTGCTCTGGGGTATCTTATCAAAATTCATGAGTATTGTTTGGGAGAGGGCTAGGATTTAATCCTCCACTTTTCCTCCATTGCTAAGAGATCTTCAGGTATAATGCATCTATTGGTTGTTGATGGTCAACATTCATTCGGATTATTCAGTAGCCACGCTGACCAGCTATTTAATATTTTTAAGATTCTCTCCCTTCAAATATCAACATTTCTACAATAGAGGCATACAGAGAATGACAACCTTTTTTTTTTTTTTTTTTTTTTTTGAGATGGAGTCTTGCTCTGTCACCCAGGCTGGAGTGCAGTGGCGCGATCTCGGCTCACTGCAAGCTCCGCCTCCCAGGTTCACGCCATTCTCCTGCCTCAGCCTCCCAAGTAGCTGGGACTACAGGCACCCGCCACCATGCTTGGCAAATTTTTTGTATTTTTAGTAGAGACAGGGTTTCACCATGTTAGCCAGGATGGTCTTGATCTCCTGACCTCATGATCCATCTGCCTTGGCCTCCCAAAGTGCTGGGATTACAGGCGTAAGCCACCGCAACTGGCCGAGAATGACAACCTTTTAACTTGAATAATGAGCCTGAGAATTCACAGAACCTAAATATCAGTTTGTAAGATTCCTGGGGGCCCACTGACCTCTATATTCTTTCTGGAAATAATATGAAGAAATAAGGTCAGCAAAAACTCAAAACAGAAGGTTTATAGGGCTTCCTTGCTGAGAATTGATGCTGCTATTATTCAAAAGGTGAGGTTTCCCTGTGCCTTCATCCAGTAATTCTCAACCAGGGGCACTCTTGACACTTAGGGGAAATATAAGAATTCCCAGGTGCAGGGGAGGGCATAGTTTGAAAAATATTGATTGAACATGTTTTTTCAAAGTATTTCATATATATTATATAGATATATATTTTTGTTTTTTTAAACTCCATCTTAACAAATATATATATGTGTATATATATATGTATTTTTTTTTAAGACAGAGTCTTGCTCTGTCGCCCAGGCTGGAGTGTAGTGGTATGATCTCAGCTCACTGCAACCTCTGCCTCCCCGGTTCAAGCAATTCTCCTGCCTCAGCCTCCTGAGTAGCTGGGATTACAGGCGTCCACCACCACATCCAGCTAACTTTTGTATTTTCAATAGAGATGGAATTTCACCATATTGGCCAGGCTGGTCTCGAACTCCTGACCTTAAGTGATCCACCTGCCTCAGCCTCCACTGCGTTCAGACTAGAATATATTTTTTAATATTTGAAAAATAAATGAGACATTTTGTTTTCATCATGTGAATTAAAGAAAGTAAAACAGCCTGGGCAATAAAGTGAGACTCTGTCTCTGCAAAAAATTAGAAACAAAAAAACTAGTCAGGGCAGGGTGCAGTGGCTCAAGCCTGTGATCCTAGCACTTTGGGAGGCCAAGATAGGTGGATCACTTAAGGTCAGGAGTTCGAGACCAGCCTGGCCAACATGGTGAAACCCCATCTCTACTAAAAATACAAAAATTAGCTGGGCACGGTGGCATGCACCTGTAATCCCCCCTACGCAGGAGGCTGAGGCAGAAGAATCGCTTGAACCCAGGAAGCCAAGGTTGCAGTGAGCTGAGATTGTGCCACTGCACTCCAGCCTGGATGACAGAGTGAGACTCCCTCTCAAAAAAAAAAAAAAGTTAGTCGGGTATGCTGTTGTGTACCTACAATTTCAGCTACTAGGGAGGCTGAGATGAGAGGATTACCTGAGCCTGGGAGGTCGAGGCTGCAATGACTATGAGCAAGCCACTGCACTCCAGCCTGAGTGACAGAGCAAGACTCTGTCTCAAAAAAGAAAAAAGTAAAACTGGACATATGCAGAAAATAAAATAATCTCAATAGAGAGGCCAGGGAGAGGGAAATGTTTTTCTAACTTTTTTGTTGTGAACCACAGTAAGAAATACATTTTACATCTTCACTCAGTACACATTGTGTGTGTGTGTGTGTGTGTGTGTGTGTGTGTGTGTGTAATTAAAACAACCAAAACATCTTTTTTAAAATAACAGTACATACTATTCTTTTTAAAAAATGCTGGTCATGACCATCCAAATTGATTTCATGACCTACAGTTTGAAAAACATTGCCCTGAGGTGATAGGTGATAGTGTCAGAATCTTGGGAGAGGGTAAGATTTTTAAGTTTATCAAAAAAGAAGCATTTTTCAAACAGTTGACCATGTCCTTAAGAGTGCAGACTTACTTTTCTTTTTATTTTCTTTAGGGCCTCTGCTATATTTCTTTCTTTTATTCCTGCTTACATGGACAATTGAGTGAGATTGCAAAACCAGGTTACTACAGCATGTGGAAATCTTAGATGATATACTACATGAAGTTGGTAAGTCGCAGGTACATGGTTCCATTGTTTTAACTTAAATTAATCTAACAACCTATTAAAAGCTTGTTTAATAAATAGTTTATCATGTGGTTTTTAGTTCTATCAGGTCAATTTTACCCCCCATTCTAAATGCAGGTCCAGTTCTTAGCTCACCTGGCTCACAGGGAAGCAAAGTCCTATTTTCCCTACATACTTGAGACTTCATCCTCCCATACAGGATCGGTCACATTCCACTCAGTCTCTTGAAATCCCAAGCAGTGATATTCTCTCGTCACCTCCACCCACCCGTGCATCAACATACCTTGCAACTGGCTTCTCTTGCTGGCCTTCTACTTAAACTGCTTTTAAAGTAAAGCCCTTTCTAAGAGTGACTTTCTAATCTTTTCTCCTAGATCCTGATCTCACAGCTCCTATATTCTGCTTCTTCCTACAGATCCATTTCCTGTCTATTGGCAGCTTCGTCTGCATTATCATTGTTTCTTGTCTCTTGAACTTTGGTTGGCAACTTGCAATCCTTTTGACTTCAGCCACCACTGCTTTGTTTTTTCCTCAGTCCTAAGTCCTGAGAGAGGGAAAGCAACTTGCTTAGCTCACATTTCGCACCAGATGGCCCCAGGCCGGGGGCCCCCTCTTTCTTCAGTCATTCATTTTTTGGTTACTTTTGGAGGGAGATGTGGTGTGGCATCTCCAGGGAACTTACTCAAGAAGAGGTAGTTGGGAGAGAAGGTAGAAAATGGGTTATCTCTAGCTGAACTTCAGGTTCAACGTCATCTTTATTTTGATCTACAGAGTCCTAGTAGATGACAATACAGGTCTATACACAAGTGATAAATTGTGCAATCAACCAATTCATCCATTTCACAAATGGGAGTGATTGTTTGCTTTATGAAGTGAACTCTTACTTTATATGAGGAACCATCATGGGATTCCTTCAAACAGCAAATTCTCTTTTCATATATACAAAATGATTTATTTTACAAAGGGTGATTACCTGTGGCTTTCTCTCAGGAAAAGGAAGTGAGGTGTCTTCCATCACAATCATATGCCTTACAGTTTTGATACAATACTCAGTCCAGTTCATTGATTTCCATTCTTAAGTACATAAAAATCTTTTTTCTCCCTGGTTTATTTATAGTTGCATCCCATGGACAAATATCCTTTACTCAACATCTCCTTTTACTTTCTTACATTTATCTTGGCTTTCTTTTCCTTTTTACTGTTTACTCCTACACCATTTCCCCTTCCCATTTTAGTCAAATTTGCTTTTGCTCTTTTTGTGCACTTCATAGGTGGACATCCAAGGACATTGATGAATGAAGCTCCAGTCAAGGGTCTGTAGTGTTAAGGCAGCCACATCCAGGCTCTCATAGCACAGAAATACCAGTAACGCTATTGCTCAGGTGTGCTGCGTATGCTTATTCTACTATGCAAGTGATTATATGCCTCAGTTCCACAGTTGACCTTATATCCCAAATCAGCTCAATAAATTAGAATACTTGGCCCCTTTTTTTTAACTTTTATTTTAGGTTCAGGGGACATGTGCAGGTTTGTTATATAGGTAAACTTGTGTTATGGGGGTTTGTTAAATAGATTATTTTGTCACCCAGGTACTAAGCCTAGTACACAATAGTTATTTTTTCTGATCCTCTCTCTTCCCACCCTCCACCCTCAAGTAGGCACAAGTGTCTGTTGTTTCCCTCTTTATGTCCATGTGTTCTCATCATTTAGCTCCCACTTCTGAGTAAGAACATCTGCTATTTGGTTTCCTGTTCCTGCATTAGTTTGCTAAGGACAATGGCTTCCAGCTCCATCCATGTTCCCACAAAGGACATGATCTTGTTCTTTTTTATGGCTGCATAGTATTCCATGGGACGTTCATACACTGTTAGTGAGAGTGTAGCTCAACTGTTGTGGAAAGCAGTGTGGCAATTCCTCAAAGAGCTAAAAGCAGAACTACCATTCAACCCAGCAATCCCATTACTGGGTATATACCCAAAGGAATACAAATTATTCTACCATAAAGACACATGCATGTGTATGTTCATTACAGCACTATTCACAATAGCAAAGACATGGAATCAACCTAAATGCCCATCAATGACAGATTAGACTTGGCCTCTTATGGAAACATATTTTGTTGTTGTTGTTGTTGTTGTATATAATGGCCCTGACTCATTAACTCCTTAAGTCATTCCCCACGTTAGCTAGTTTTCTGTTATCTTCACTTTGATGTTAAGCCAACATCTTAGCATATTTAAAATTGAATTTCTCATACTCTTAGTCACATTATATTCCCTTTCCAGCTTCCTTACTGATGATGATGATGATGAACATTACTGCCTTTCACTTGTCCAGCACATTGCAGCTTTCCTGCACATCATCTTATTTGTGCCTTACAAAACCACTATGTGGTGAGCAGAGACACTTTACAAATGAGAAGAGTGGGCTAAGAGGGGTTAAGTCACTTGTTCAAAGTGGTAGGGACAGGTCTTCTCACTCTCGGTCCTATGCCTTAAGCTCAGAGGCACTACCCTGCTTCTCAAGCTAATAACCTCATCATTCTTTCTGTTCCTTTTTCTCTTGCACGTCCCATGTCTAACTCATCAAAAACTTATCCTAATTTTTTCTTCTACAATGTCTCATACTTGCCATTATCAAAGCAGTTAAACAACTGCCTTCTTGGTTCAGGCCCTCATCTGCTCATTTGTGAGTCACTGCAAGCATCTCCTGTTTTCCACATTTCTGTTCTTTTCTGCTCTAATTCATCCAAAAGGCATTGGTTAGAATATTGTTTATTTTGCATATTTTCTCTCTTTCATATCTTCTTCCCTTTTTTTGGAATGAAGGGTCCACATAGCAGTTGTTGGGACAGCTAGTAATTACCTTAGTAATTCCCATGCCCCACTTGAATAGCAAATATCTGTGGATAATTGGAAAAATAATGTGTGAAGATGCTGCTCTCATGGTATCACTCCCTTGTGGCCCATATCAGTTTTCTATTTCCTGTTCTGGAAAATGCAATCCCTGCAGGCCCTATATCCAAGACTGTCTATTAACTGAATTTGCAGACCCTGCCCTAAGTACCAAGGTGATGTAGTATTTATGCCATCTGTCTCAAATTCAAGGGTGCTTGTAGCCAGGGGACTACCTTCAGGGGAATAAGTGATGTATAGCTATAAATTTTGGTGATGCCAGAAGTAGCCCAAATAATATGAAAAGAAGCAACATGTACTGTGTACCTTTTTGATGCCACCAACAACTCTGGTATTTTACCTACTTTATCTAATTGAATGCCAACATCAACCCTGCAAAGCAGAAAAGCACAGGGGTGGGGTGCAGGGAATCCCAGCTAGGCCGACAAACCTAGGTTCAGCCCAGAGTTCTGACAGATCTATAAATGTCTGGAAGTCTGTTGGGAGGGAATCTATTTGCTTCAAGAATCAAGGAAGTCCAGAGAAAGAGCTCATTCTAAGGACAATGGGGCAAATTTGGGTGAAAGTGGGAGGGATGTCATGAATATTGTAAGCTGCTTGTCGCTAACATTATATGCTGTCTCTGCTCTGGGGATTTCTGCCTTAGTCTAGTGAGATTGAATAAAAGAATAGAAGCAAACAAACAAAGCCACTGCAATTGAAAGCTATTAAGGCAAGATAGTATGACCTGGAGCACCCTTGCTGGGCAGCGTACGTGGCAGAGCCATGGGGCTCTGGAAGGAACCGAGAGCACGTAGTGATCTGGGAGCATGAAGGCATTGGGAACCTGTAGCCTCAGCCCAAGCCTTGACCATCTGGCCACTCCAGGGTGCCAGAGGCAGAAAACAGGGAAATGGAGACGCTATTGGCTGCTTGGACAAATATAGTGCTTTAAGAATACATTTTAAAAAAGAAGAAGAGGCCAGGTGTGGTGGCTCATGCCTGTAATCCCAGCACTTTGGGAGGCCGAGGCGGGTGGATCATGAGGTCAGGAGATCGAGAACCATCCTGGCTAACACGGTGAAACCCCATCTCTACTAAAAATACAAAAAAAATTAGCCGGGTGTGGTGGCGGGCGCCTGTAGTCCCAGCTACTCAGGAGGCTGAGGCAGGAGAATGGCATGAACCCAGGAGGCGGAGCTTGCAGTGAGCCGAGATCGCGCCACTGCACTCCAGCCTGGGCGACAGAGCGAGACTCCTTCTCAAAATAATGATAATAATAATAATAAAATTTAAAAATATATATATATGAGAGAACCACTCTCTCCATGTTACATCCCCTTCCTCACTCTCAGAGTAATTTGGGAGGAAATCAGAGACCTATTTCAGAAATATTAGTGAGGAAGCAGGACCAGGGAAATGATAACTATTAAAAAAATTTTTTTTTTAAATAATAGAGACAGGTTCTTGTTATGTTGCCCAGCCTGGTCTTGAACTTCTGGACTCAAGCAATCCTCCTGCCTCAGCCTCCCAAGTAGCTGGGACTACAGATGCAGGCCACCACGCCCAGTTAATTTTTAAATTTTCTGTGGTGATGGGGGTCTCATTATGATGCCCAGGCTGGTCTTGAACTCCTGGGCTCAAGCAATCCTTCTGCCTCAGTCTGCAAAATTCTGAGATTACAGGCATGAACCACTGAGCCCAGCCACTATTATTATTTTTGTCGGCATAATTTCAGCTACTACCTATTCTCACATCTGGCTAGTATGGCCTGGGAAGCAGATCACAAGTATATTTTCATCTCCGTTATACATGACAAATTGAGCCTTGAGAAATTTAAGTAACTTGTCTAAATTAATACAATTACGAAGTGGCAGAGCTCGGGTTAGGATTCTGGTCTTTTTTATTTCAATGCCCATGTTCTTCCCACTACATTATTTATTCAACAAACATTTATCGAATGCCCACTATGAGTCACTCACAAGAGGCAATAAGGAACAAAAAAGCCCCTGCCCACATGAACCTTACATCCAGTGGCAGAGACAGCTGTTCACCAAAATTTGTAGGCTCCTCTTCTTCCTGCACTCATAGCTAGACTACATTTCCCAGCTTCCCTTGCAGTTAGGTCTCTCGCCAGTCGAACATGAGTGGAAATGAGTGGCACTTCTATGCCTGGCCCGTAAGAACCTCCCTCCCATGTTTCTGTATACTGAAAGGACTAGTGCAACCTTGGAAGTCAACTGTGAAAATGGCAGAGCTGCCTCCACTGATGAGGAACACGTGACTTGGCCTGTTATATCATTAATAACTCAATTTATATTGTGGTTGAGACATAAATTTAGGAGAGTTTTTTTTTTTTTTTTGAGACGGAGTTTCGCTCTTGTTGCCCAGGCTGGAGTGCGATGGTGTGATCTTGGCGCACTGCAACCTCTGCCTCCCAGGTTCAAGGGATTCTCCCGCCTCAGCCTCCCTAGTAGCTGGGTTTACAGGCACGCTCCACCACGCCCAGCTAATTTTGTATTTTTAGTAGTGACGGGGTTTCTCCATGTTGGTCAGGCTGGTCTCAAACTCCAGACCTCAGGTGATCTGCCCGCCTCAGCCTCCCAAATTGCTGGGATTACAGGCATGAGCCACTGCGCCTGGCCAGGAGTTTATTTTTTATAGCATTAGGTACATCTTAATGAAAACATACTCCTAAAATAGATCAGTATACCAAAAAGACACATGTGCTTGTATGTACATTGCCACATTTCATACATAGTAAAGGCATGGGATCAACCTAGGGGCCCATCAATGGTGGGTTGGATAAAAAAAATATATATGGTAGAGATACATGATGGAATACTATGCAGCCATAAAAAAGAATGAGATCATGTCCTTTGCAGCAGCATAGATGGAGCTGGTGGCCATAATCTAAGCAAATTAATGCAAGAACAGAAAACCAAATACTGCATGTTCTCACTTACAAGTGGGAGCTAAACATTGAGCTCCCACAGACATAAACATGGGAGCAATAGACACTGCAGGCTACTAAAGGGGGAGGGGAGGCGGTGGGGCATGGATTGAAAAACTACCCATTGGGTACTATGCTCCTATCTGGGTTCCATATACCCACGTAACAAACCTGTACATGTACCCCCTCGTATCTAAAATAAAAGCTGAAATAAAAAAAATACTCCTACATGAATACCTGCCTAGAGTGATTTTCATTTTACCAGAAGAATTATAGATAAAGTTTCTTCCTTTTTAAACTAAACTACTCCCTTGAAAATCTAGTGGTGTTGGATGTCAAACAATCATCTGCTGACCCAAAGGGGCTCCTGCCAGCTGCATGGGCACCATGAAGGACTCATGTGAGAAGGCCCGCCTTGATCCAGCATGGCGTATGTGACTGAGGGGGTAATTCCATCTATGTCTGGTTTTGTCTTAACCATCCCACTTTGCAAAAACACTTGATGCCACACTCTGCAACTTGGCCTCTAATCGATTATAATAAAGGTGACATTTAACCTCTCTCTGCCACTCTTTTGCATTATTTTTCCATTTGTTCAGAACTCAGGTTGGGAAGATGGTTGTTACTTATTGGGCCCCCACAGAGACCTCAAAAAGTTATCATAATTTTTGGATAAATCAGTAGTCAAGGATTGTATTATAATTGTGTAAATAATTGTCACTGTTGAACCAAGTAGTATATTGTGATTATGTCTTGTTTCTAGTTTGATTTTTTTCTTGAAGTTAATGAATGCCATGTTTTTTGTTCTTAATTTATTTTTAGTTTTGTATGGACCTATACTATTTTTCCAACTACTATAATTGCTCTGTCTAAAATTTTTCAAGCAGTACACTAAGAGCACTAAGCCTAAAGGAAAAGCCAGGCAGGGTGTGGTGGCTCACACCTGTAATCACAGAACATTGGGAGGCTTAGGTGGGAGGATTGTTTGAGCCCAGCCTGGGCAACATAGTGAGTAGTGAGATCCCCATCTCTACAAAAAAATTCTAAAATTAGCTGGATGTGGTGGTGCATGACTATAGTCCCAGCTACTTGGAAGGCTGAAGCAGGAGGATAGCTTGAGCCAAGATGTTCAAGGCTGCAGGGAGCTATGATTATGTCACTGTATTATGTCACTGTACTCCAGCCTGGGCAACAGAGAAAGGCCATGCCAAAAAAAAAAAAAAAAAAGAAGAAGAAGAAAAGAAAAGCCAACAAAACTAAAAAACATTAATTTTAAGAACTTAAGATCATCAAATGATAAGATTAAGAGAGTAAAAAGGAAAACCACATAATGAGAGAAGACATATGTAATATATATATCCCAAGAAGGATTTTTGTCCAGAATATATAAAGAACCCCTACAGATCAATAAGAAAAAGAGACAATACAATCAGAAGGTGGGCAAAAGATTTTGACGGGCACCTCAAAAAAGAGCATTTCAAATGGCCCTTAAACATATGAAAAGATACTCCACTTCATGAGTCATCTGAGGAATCTAAATTAACATCACAATAAGATATTGCACACCTACCAGACTGGTTAAAATAAAGAATTGTCAAGGATGTGGAACAACTGGAATTTGTACGCACTGCTATTAAAAACATAAATCTGGGCCGGGCTCGGTGGCTCATGCCTGGTAATCCCAGCACTTTAGGAGGCTGAGGTGGGCAGATCACAAGGTCATGAGTTCAAGACCAGCCTGGCCAATATGGTGAAACCCCGTCTCTACTAAAAATACAAAAATTAGCTGGGCGTGGTGGCAGATGCTTGTAGTCTCAGCTACTCAGGAGGCTGAGGCAGGAGAATCGCTTGAACCCAGGAGGCCGAGATCGTGCCACTGCACTCCAGCACTTTGGGAGGCTGAGGCGGGTGGATCAGTTGAGGTCAGGAGTTCAAGACCAGCCTGGCCAACATGGCGAAACCCTGTCTCTACTAAAAATACAAAAAAAAAAAAAAAAAAAAGGAAAAAGAAAAATTAGCTGAGTGTGGTAGCTCGCACCTGTAGTCCCACCTACTCAGGCGGTTGAGGCAGGAGAATCGCTTGAACCCAGGAGACAGAGGTTGCAGTGAGCCGAGATCGTGCCACTGCACTCTAGCCTGGGCGACAGAGCGTGACTCTGTCTCAAAAATAATAATAATAATAAAATAAAAATAAATAAATAAAAACACAAACCTGTACAACCACTTTGAATAACTGTTAGTACTACCTATGAATGCTGAACCTATATAACACATACTCTTTGAACTAGCAGTTCCACTCCTTGATATATACCCAGGCTTGATATATATCCAGCAGAAATGAGCGGATATATTCACAAAAAAACATGTATGAGAATGTTCATAGCAGCACTATTAGTAATAGTCAAAAACAGGAAAGAATGTTCATTAACAGTGGAATGGATAAGCAGCACCGTACTCATAAAACAAAATACCACACAGCAAAGAGAAAAAACAAATTACTTGTAGCATCATGGGTGAATCTCATAAAACGTAATGTTGAATGAAAGAAACCAGGCACAAAAGAGCACAAAATATACAATTCAACTTATATAAAGCCCCAAACAAGGCAAAACTTACTGATGGAGATAGAAGTTAGTTTAGCAGTTACCTTTGTTGGGGGAAGTGGGGGCATCAGGGGATGTTCTGGGTTGCTGGTCAGATTTTATTTCTCAATCTGGGTTCTGATTACACATATTATTCACTTTGTGACAATTCTTTGAGCTCGGCACTTATGATCTGTGTATTTTTCTATATGTATTCTAAATTCTATACTATTTTATGCTGTAATCAGAAAAATTTAAATCACCAGATCATGCAGACATATTGAAAAAATATTGAAAACTTCTAGGAAATAAGACCCGTGTAGATAAGCTCCAAGTCCACGAATTCATCTTTATCTGTAGGATTTGGTCTCTGGAATGATAAATATCAATTCTAATGTGTAGACTTCTCAGAGGTGGAAAGGCCCTTATGCAGCATCTTATCTAATCACCTGTTCATCCTCCTTTGAGGGTAAATATCTAAATGGAAATGCCCAGAATGCATATCAATTATTTTTTGTCTTCCTAGAATTCCTTCCTTGGAGGCTGCTGCTGGACATCCAATACGTGGTTTTGACAGGTTTGTCAGTCACAAAACCCTGCTGTCTACTCCCAACATAGAGGTTGATGTTTGATCTTTGTTTGGCCAATAACACTTTTTTCCCCCAGGAATTTAAGTTTCGAGCTGGTTGCTGAAACCAGCTGAAACACTGACACAGAAGGTGATGAAGCTACATTATCTGACAGCAGTGCCATAGAAAGACAGTTACAAGTCCCTGCTGCTACGATCCTTGAAGCTTCTTTGGGTCTGGCCTCTTGAGGCCAAATTATCCAACAAATCTTTTTATTCTCTGACCTGTCCTATATCCTTTCAATAGATTAATTTTTGCATCATAGCAAGGATCTATTCATATTGCGTTCCAGCAAATAATTAATCCAGCATCAGACCGTCAACCTGGAAAGTTTGGAAACCCAGTGCTATTCGTTCATCCAAGAATTATTAGGTTGCAAAGAAGAGACTCATATTGGTCAAACTCATAGAAATTTGATGTATAAACCACAATATTTATGGATTACTTTATTCTAGGAGATATTCTTAGTGTTAGAACAAAAGCAATCACTTTGCAGAGGCCATTCATTTCACATTTAACATTAACTAATATTAACCAAGAACTGCCTGTTAGGTATTATGGTGAGCAAAGAAAAGCCAAACTTGGTGTTTTCAAATTGATTTTTATAACTTTAAAAATCATGTCAGCTGGGCACGGTGGCTCACGCCTGTAATCCCAGCACTTTGGGAAGCCGTGGCGGGTGGATCACGAGTTCAGGAGATCAAGACCACCCTGGCTAACACGGGCACAAAATTTGCCAGTCTTGGGACGCACCTGTAGTCCCAGCTACTCAGGAGGCTGAGGCAGGAGAACCACTTGAACCCAGGAGGCAAAGGTTGCAGTGAGCCAAGATGGCGCCACTGCACTCCAGCCTGGGCGACAGACTGAGACTCTGTCACAAAAAAAAAAAAAAAAAAAAAAAGGCTTGGGCCAGTCAAGGTGGCTCACGCCTGTAATCCCAGCACTTTGGGAGGCCGAGGCAGGCAGGTCATCTGAGGTCAGGAGTTTGAGACCAGCCTGGCTAACATAGTGAAACCCTGTTTCTACTAAAAATACAAAAAATTAGCCGGGCGTGGTGGCACAGGCCTGTAATCCCAGCTACTCGGGAGGCTGAGGCAGGAGAATTGCTTGAACCCAGGAGGCGGAGGTTGCAGTGAGCCGAGATCAAGCCATTGCACTCCAGCCTGGGCAACAAGAGCGAGACTCCATCTCAAAAAAAAAAAAAAAATCATGTCTGGATATGTTATCCTTTCTAACTCTGCTCCTACAGTGCTACTTAACTCATTTTTCTAAATTACCATTCTGTTGGCTTCTGGTCTACAATCTTCACAGTGATGACCCCGTGCCATCTATATATTGTCCAAAATGCTTTCATTCTCTTAATGGCACCCTCCCTGTACCCAGACAAGGCTTTTAGAAAGCTCTTGTACTGCATTCTGGGGCCTTAGGGAGTTGCTGCAGGTGCTGCTTCCCACTTCTCTTTCGAAGCCTGCTCTGCCCCAGCCTCTAAGTCAGCCTGGTTACCTCATAACTAGTTCTGCCTCTCTGATTAGTTTATCTTGCTTCTAGCCACGCCCCAGTTCGCTGTCTCTTGATCTCCCTCCACCCTACACTTTGCAATCCCATGTGTCAATCTTTTGTTACTTCTTTTCCTGCCTCAGCTCCCAGATCCAGCCTGGAATAGCACAGAAGGAGTTACAACACGGACCGTGTCTTGAGAACCCTCCAAATGCCGGGTGCAGTGGCTCACACCTATAATCCCAGCACTTTGGGAGGCCAAGGTGGGAGTATCACCTGAGGTCAGGAGTTCGAGACCAGCCTGACCAATATGATGAAACCCCGTCTCTACTAAAAATACAAAAATTAGCTGGACATGGTGGCATGCGCCTGTAATCCCAGCTACCTGGAAGGCTGAGACAGGAGACTTGCTTGAACCCAGGAAGGGGAGGTTGCAGTGAGCCAAGATCGCACCATTACACTCCAGCCTGGGCAGCAAGAGCGAAATTCCATCTCAAAACAAAAAAAACAAACAAACAACAAAGCCCTCCAAAATGCAGTGCACTTTCTTTACACGAACATACCTCTCTACCTGGGACAAGTATGTACTCTCTCGCTAATAGAAAATAAAGCATTTCCAACCCTCTGCTGTTGTTTACATTGTTCTCTCTTCTAGGAGTGCCCCCTACTTCTTCCCTTCTTTTCTGAATCCTAACCATCTTTTAAGACCTGCTCTTGAAGCACCCCACAAATCCTCTCACAGATCCCTCAGTGCTCAAGGGATTATAATCTTATCTCCTAGTATAATTATCAGTCTGCAACTTCTTGAAGATAAGTTTTCTACCATCAGTCCTTAATGTCATAAAATTTTCTTTGAATATTTTCTGTGATTAAGTCTTGTCAGGAACCTGGCCTGTTAGATACATGATGAGAGTGGGTTGCAGATATTGGGGACAGTTGCAGGCTAGTGAAGGTAATTGGCATACGGATTAAGGAAGGGCAGGTCTCATACAGGTGCTGCCAGTTCACGAACTAGATTAGTCAAGGATGACAGATATCAAGGCAAGTGGCCAGTATGAGGGATTGCTGAAGTTTGGAGGACAAAGTTGAAGGAACAGTGAGTAAGGCCTTGCTCTACTGGACAGAGAAGCATCAGGCTAAGAATTTGTGGGGAAGAGGTTGCTTCTGTAGCATGCGACATTGCTTTGCACACTCTCTCTTCCACTCAGCAAAGAGCCTTTTAAAAACAGCACTGTTGGTGTCTGAGCATCAATATAAGCAATAGCCACGTGCAGTGCTGATAGTTAGTATGGACAGGTGCAGCCACACTGGTGGCTTAGGGTTGGTCTGTTGGTCAGCTTCTAAGTCATACCCGTTGTTAAAAATTTTTAATATCTCCGTTATATATATGTATAATGTCTCTATTTGTTTTGTTAAATTTCTATCAAGGGCACCAGCTACTCTGCTATTCACATCAAGATTTACATGATAAATTTCATTTGGCATTGAAAACTCAGGATGATGAATAACTTTATGCTGTAGTGCACAGTTCCAATTCACATCAGCACTGAAGTCCCCAGAACTGTCAGTTTCTCTCTATGGCAGTGACTACTGAAAATTTGTCTGGGTTTCTTGGATTTCATCCAGTATATCGGCCAGAGAAGGCATCTGTTTTATATGTCAATCTCCTTCTTGCCTTTTTTTTTCCCCTTCTTTAATTTGGACTTAAACTTTTGCTGAGTACGTAAGTAAAGCACTGGAAGGTTCCCTCATCATTTGTTCATTCATTTTTCCAACAGATATTACAGAGTTCCTACTATGTGCCAAGTACTGGATGACACATGGTAAGCAAAACCTGATGTGGTCCTTGTCCTCATGGAGTTTAGTGTCAAGTAGATAGTTAATGGCAGAATAAAATAAGCCAAGAAGTCATGGCACCACTTGTGGCTTTAATCTCATCCCCTAAACCTTGTTTGGTCAATTTTTTTCCTTTCTTTCAACTTCAATATTTTTCTTTCCTTTTTTTTTTTTTTTGAGACAGAGTCTCATTCTGTCATCCAGGCTGAAGTGCAGTGG